>NC_000006.12:64731594-65034624 GCF_000001405.40 Homo sapiens
TCAAAACCACAATGAGATACCATGTCACACCAGTTAGAATGGTGATCATTGAAACGTCAGGAAACAACAGATGCTGGAGAGGATGTGGAGAAATAGGAATGCTTTTACGCTGTTGGTGGGAATGTAAATTAGTTTAAATGTTGTGGAAGACAGTGTGGCGATTCCTGAAGGATCTAGAACCAGAAATACCATTTGATCCAGCAATCCCATTACTGCGCATATACCCAAAGGATTATAAATCATTATACTAAAGAGACACATGCACACACATGTTTATTGCAGCATTGTTCACAATAGCAAATATATGGAACCAAATCAAATGCCCATCAATGTTAGACTGGATAAAGAAAATGTGGCACATATATACCATGGATTACTATGCAGCCATAAAAAAGGATGAGTTCATGTCCTTTGTAGTGACATGGATGAAGGTGGAAACCATCAATCTCAGCAAACTAACAGAGGAACAGAAAACCAAACACCACATGTTCTCACTCATAAGTGGGAGTTGAACAATGAGAACACATGGACACAGGGAGAGGAACATCACACACTGGGGCCTGTCGGGGTTGGGGGGCAAGGGGAGGGATAGCATTAGGAGAAATACCTAATGTTGGTGATGGGTTGCTGGGTGCAGCAAACCACCGTGGCACGTGTATACCTATGTAACAAACCTGCATGTTCTGCACATGTATCCCAGAACTTAAAGTATTAAAAAAAAAAAAAAGATGTTATTACCTCCTGGACTGGATTGCAGAGAAAACTGTAAATGTTTTAACACACTAGTGTTTCTACTGCCAAATTCCTGTTAGCTCATTAATTGCATTCCATATACACCTTTGCAAATGTTTGCCCTATAGTCTGTTTATAAACATCTTAGATATGGCAGAAATTTAAAAAAAAGTAAAAGAGATAAAAAACAACATTCATATGAATTATACTAATTTATTTTTATTTTTGAATTCTTATTTTTTGAGGGAATCGTAAGTATAAATTTACTGTATACCTAGTGGCGTATAGTAAAATTGTAGGCATAAGGATAAAAGGAAATAATAAACTTCATAGTGCTCAGCTTCAAACCCAAACCTCTAAATAACAGGACAGGCTCAGATACCTCAGGGATCAGGCAGATAATACAAATAAATGAAACAGGCAAAAAAGAGTACAGTCTTGCCAAGAGAGGCAATCCCTACTTAACTCCAACTGATTGTTCTCGTTTGAAAACACAAATCACAACTGCCAAATCTGATTGTTCAGGAGAAGCCAGAAATTCTGATGTATAACGTGAAACCTCTAGATTTCTTATATGGTAGCACAATTTTCTCTAAAACACTAGGTAATCTAAATAAAGCTGACCATCTATCAGTTTCAGTGCTGTGTTGTGCAAATGATGAATGGCATATCCCCTAATTGTGGTATTAGACTGCCTCTCACCAGCCACAATTTGTAATTGCAACAATGGCATCACCAGATAGGACTCTCCTGCTTTGCTATGCACACATTCCTGAGCCCTGGAGAACAACTAACTCTACAGGAAAAAGTGGAAGGCTCATCTAAGCCATTCTTGCTAGCTTTCATGACTAGCTGCTGGCCTACAGGCAATAAATTCCCAACTGCTCCTGCAAGTAGGCTTTAGGGCCTGGGAGGTCTTTATCTGGTTCAGAAGGCAAGGCTGCTTCTCAAAGCACCTCCAAGTGCTTTGGGGCCCCTGTTCAGATGGCAGGCATTTCTGGTTACCAGCACCTGATGACTGACAGGAGCAGGGCAGTCATACTCACATCCAGGAGCTTGGTGCTTAACAGATGGTACACTGATTTCACAACATCATCTACTCTGGGGATGATCCACTTGGCCACCACAATGATGCTGCTGACAGTGGTTGAAGTCTTCTTTTCAGCCTCTGAGCCCATTGTCATGGCAACAAGTTTTTCTCTCAAAGTGTGACAAATCTTCAAGATGACAATGCAGTGGGACATGAGACCCAAGGCATCCTAGATCCAGTCTTCATTCTCCAGAATGGGCTCTATGCCAGAGTGGGCGATGATGACATCATCTAGTTCTAACTCAGAGAGCTCAGATTGGGTCTCCATGGCACCCAAGAGACTCATAATGGGCTTAGAATCATAGCGCTGCAGCAGGTCTCCTGGCCAGCAGTAGCGCTGCACTCAAACCACCACCAAGACTGCAAACAAAGCCAGAAAGATGGTAGCCAGCACGCTTATGGCAACAATCACTGTGGCCTTCTTGCTTCTCTGTGGCTCCTGACTTAGTCTCACTCATATCCTCCTCATAGGCTAAATTTTCTGAACTGTAGATGACCAGTCCCATGGCGGTGGGAGCAAGCTATATTAATTTATTTTTTAAAGAAATGAAGAAGTATTTTTTAAATACCACAAAATATGATACCTTCAATTACGTTTAAAACAATAAAACAAACGAAACCCTTAGATGACAAATCCTAGTAACAATATTATATTGTGGTGCTTACCCAATCACGAATCTTCTGCCCATATTGCAGATATTTTAAGGGAAAAAAAAAAACAAGTAGAAACAAACAAAAAAATAGATTTACTGCTGGCCATATGGAGAAATTCTATTTTCAATAAATAATATAATTCAGAAAAGCTTTGTTGAGGACTAAAGCGAATAAGCACTTTGTAACCTTTACTTCTAAGAAACATTCCTTTTATTATCCATGTAAGTTATCTATAGAAAAAAATATTTCTAGCATGTTTTTATTTTTTTTTTAAGTTTTGTTTGAAGCTTTGAAGTATTCCTTAGCAATTTGTGTTTGGAGAGAAAAACTAGATATCTGGCATATGCAATAGGCACAACTTTTAGTTTGCAAGTGTTTTGATGTGATTTTTTCCACTGAAAATATTGCTATAAGAGCATAGAAATCAGAATAAGTTAAATCAATCTCCTTATAAAAAATTTTGGGGTTTGTGTAGACAATCTGTTGTAAGTTGTTTATGACTATTTCTAAGTATTTCTGTTAGCCATTTACAATTTTTTGTAAAAGTTGAGGCCATTCTGCTCCATTTTCTCTAAGTTCTCTCTCAAGGAAAAAATAAATTCTACCTAAAACTACACTAGAAAGTGTGTATATGCTCGCACATGTGTCCACATGGGGAAGAGTAGAGATTGGAGAAAATGTTCACACGGACAGGAAGGGGTATTACTGTGCCCTCTCAGAAATAAAGAACAAAATCAAGAACACTATGATTTTTCTTAATTTTAATATATCTTTTGAGTATTTGTATATAGTGACATTCTCATTAACTATGATTTCAGAACAATAGGAATTCTATATTTATTATTCTATTATTTTTCTATTAGTTCTTTCTCTCTAATATATGTTGCACAGAGGTATGCTTATATAAACCTAAATATGTTAATGAGGTGATTAAGACATAATATGCACTATATTATAAGACTGAAGTGTCTAGTCTAAATGACTTACTTTATGGTACAGTATAGGTTAAGTTTTCTGACTTTGTTTTTTTTGAGACCCAGTCATGCTCTGTCGCCCAGGCTGTAGTGCAGCGGTGCAATCTCTGCTCACTGCAAGCTCCATCTTCCGGGTTCACGCCATTCTCCTGCCTCAGCCTCCCGAGTGGCTGAGACTACAGGCGCCTGCCACCATGCCTGGCTAGTTTTTCGTATTTTTAGTAGAGACGGGGTTTCACCGTGTTAGCCAGGATGGTCTCGATCTCCTGACCTCGTGATCAGCCTGCCTTGGCCTCCAAGAGTGCTGGGATTACAGGCGTGAACCACCGTGCCCGGCCAGTTTTCTGACCTTTTTTTCTGCCTCCTGTGCACTATCTTATTTATTTAAATTTGGATAGTGACACAACTGATCTGAAAATTGCATGAATATACTCCTTTCAGATAATAATATATCCATGAGAAGAAAAAACACAAAATTTGAAAAAAATTGTATAACTTATACTTTGTCTTATTTAAGTATTTCTACTACATAGCAAGTAAAGTATATGAGTTTGATTTCACTTTCTTAAACTGAAAGGAAAATGATTGTACACATTTGAATAATATATTATTGAAACCTTAATGGTATTAGGGACATATCAAAAAAGAAATATTTACAATTGTTACAATTGATGGATAGTGTCTGACAAAAGTATTTATTTTTTGACATAAATGTAGTTTGGCTATTGATGAAGTTGTTAGGTAGCAATTTACTAATGTGTATAATATAATAACCAATAGATACAAATTCCTATTTCATGGAGGATGGAAATAAAGACAAAATAAAGAACTATGATCACACTGGGAGACTGAAAACATAAGCATATAATTAGATTAATTGAAATAGAGCTTTTTTGAGTTACATATTTCAGTTACAATCAAACCGATAGCTTAGTCCTTGAAGTTCTATAAAAGATGAATTAAATCTAATATATGCAATTGGTTGTATGCTCGAAAATTAGTTACTGAAATTCTCAAGCCCTTTCTATATTATTACAAAGGTTTTCTTCTGATAGCATATACTACTGGTTAATAAAAATTCACAGTAAATTCACTGAAAATATAACAATTTAAATTTTAACAATTTTGAAACATTCCACACTGGATTTGAATTTATTCTTTCCATTCCCTTTTCATTACATGTTTTAAGAAACTTCTATGAATATTACCTTTTATAAAAATGAGATACTTAAATACATTACATATAAATAGAAATCATGTAGTTAAAAATAAAATTCTATTTTTGAGTATTGAATGAACAATGAGGAAACTACTGACTTCCTAGAATATTTTAGATATATTCAAAATAAAATTCTCTAAAGAGTGGTTGAAGAAATAACTGAAATGTTAATTTCTTAAAACAGTCTTTACTCTTTTAGTGGTATTGCACTAACTCTATGACTCAGTGACAATAAAACTACTTTAAAGTATTTTTGCTAGAATCATTACAGAGTATTGGTTACAAAAGCTTCCCCAAACTTGTTCCTCCCTTTGGCCCATTCTCGTAATTGTTACTATTTTATCTTTTCTGTAGAGTCTTTCCTGGTAAGTCAAATATTTTCCTGTTTTTAACATTATATTTCTATTGCGAAATGAGTCCTGCTTGAGGTATTTCTATATTTTTGAATTAGCAGTGTTTATTAAGTGCATATGCCAGTTCTCACCACTGTGTCAGACACTGAGTCAAGGCTGGACTATACACGAGTGAGCAAAATCAGATAAGGGAAGCTTACTATTGAAGAAGACAGAGAATAAGGTAATCACACAAAGAAACATAAAATAAAAATTCACAATAATTCCTACAAAGAAAAATTGTATAAAAATGTGAGGGACGTGTCCTTTTCTAGGAAACAGAAGAATACAATTTATCATTTTATATTACCTTATGATGTTTCATTGTGTATTTTCATTTTATATTAGTATAGTTTGCCTTTCAAATTGTGTGTCACCCAAATTGTGAAGAAACAATGTAATGTACTATTTTTTATTCATCCCTTTGAATCTAGGCACATAAAAGATGTGTCTGTAGCTTACTACCTGCATGAAGACCAATATCATTTTTTGTGATAGAAATCTTATAATAATCCACTGTGATATAAAAAGTTTCTGGATGTGCATCTTTAAAAATCATAAAATGCATTTCTTTAGCAAAACAGCCTAATCAAATATCATTGATATCAGTATTCTTTTCTTTTCCTAATTCAATATTCAGTTTTCTTTTTTTAACTGTATGCTCTACTTTAGTAAAAGACCAAGTTTTATTGGGTAAAATATAATTTATGATGTTATATAACGGTCCATTTTAAACCAAATGCAACCACGCTTTAACCTGGTAGAGAAAAACAATGGTAATTCATTATCCAATGATCATTGCAAAACATTTCTCTGAAGCAAAATCTGGAAACTTTCACCTCTCTTTTCCTAAAGCTGATTCAGCCACAAAGATGGCATCACAAGCTTGGCATTTGGTGTAATTTCATTTTCTGCTGTCACCATCTTGAAATTTTTAACATTTTTATCTTGGAATGTATGTTTTGCAAGTGAGGTCTGATAGGTCTGATAGGACAATGGAACATGCCAGTGAGCAGAGCTGCTTCCTTTGTAGACATCATGCCCAGTTTCTTATGAACACAGAATTCTTGTGGATCCACAACATGCAGGAGTTCAGGAAGACTCAGATCTACTACAAAGTCAGAGTGTTGCATGAACCATCGAGTAACTGTGATAAGGAAAGGGAGCACTGACATTCTCAAGAGGTCACAGTTTCCATTTGAGCAATACTTGCTTTAACTGTGGAAATAATGCAATGATGTTCTATCATGAATGAAAAACTCTCCATATCCTTTATTTGTTTTACTCCTCTGTATTAACCAACCATCGATGCTCAAAGCCATGGTTCCTTTTCCTTATAGTCTTTCTTTAGCTTATCACTATGCTAAAGGTATAGAGGTTGGTAGCATGTGTACTATCGAGAATGAAATAAAAACAATTGTGTTAGTTTGTGCAGTATTTCCACCATTCTGATAAGGATTTGATGTAATTTAGATATTTGTCCCCTCAAAACCTCATATTGAAATGTGATCTCCAATGTTGCAGATGGGGTCTGGGAAGTTGTTGGGTCATGAAAGGGCTGGATGGGGCTGGATCCCTCATGAATGGCTTGATACCCTCCCTACAGTAATGAATGTGTTCTCACTCTAATAGTTAGCGTGTGTCTGACTGTTTAAAAGAGGCTGGTACATTTCTTGCTTCCTCTTTCCTTGTGTGACAGGTCTGTTCTTCCTTCACCTTGCTCCATAAGTAAAAGCTTCCAAAAGCTTTAACAGAAGTCAAGCAGATGTTGGTGCCATGCTTGTACAAGGTGCAGAACTGTGAGCCAAATAAACCTCTTTTCTTTATAAGTAACTCAGTCTCAGGTAGCTCTTTATGGCAGTGAAAAACAGACTAATGCAGGATAAAATATGTGTTGTGGAATTTTGGTGATGCTACTTTCAAGTTAAAGGCCCTTATATTTGTATAGGAAATGGCATTGCACAATAGAAAATGAACAGTTTAGTCTATGTTCATATTTGAAAATTTTAATTTTTCTTTATTTAAAACAACAATAGTGGCAATTTTAAAAATATCATGACAAGATGAGAGAAAGGCCATGCAAAAAAGGAAAAAGACTCAAATTTTAGTAATTTTTTTTAAGATGTAATTTTGCCCTTGTTGCCTAGGATGGAGTGCAATGGCACGATCTTGGCTCACTGCAACCTCCGCCTCCCAGGTTCAAGAGATTCTCCTGCCTCAGGCTCCCAAGTAGCTGGGATTACAGATGCCTGCCACCACATCCCGCTAATTTTTGTATTTTTAATTTTAACCATGTTGGCCAGGCTGGCCTCAAACCCCTGACCTTAGGTGGTCAGCCCGCTTCAGTCTCCCAAAGTGCTGGGATTACAGGCGTGAGCCACCATGCCTGTCCAGTAATTTAACAGTACTTTTTTCTTCCTGTTTGTACAAGAGTGTCCTTTTTTTCACTCTACTGAGCTGGACCTCTATAGCCTCAGACAATCAAATACTCTTTTTCATCATACAAGGTAGATGGGTTAGTCATGCAACAATCATTTCAGTCACATCTCAGTAAATTTATGATAATCACTATTTTGTTTTTGAAAACTAAAACTATTCACTCACATTAAGAAATTAAAACCATGCTGTGATGCCATTTACTGGAGGAACTTGTAATATAGTAGTTTAAAATCTAAACAAGAGACAAAGGTGAAAACTAAGGACAATTGTCTGTGTATACCAACCAAGGAAGATAATTATTTTTATGAGTTAAACTGCAGGTTTTTCTTTAAAGACTAAAGTTTAGCAATAATGATCATGACCACATATAAAATAATTTCTATGGTGCTAGTATCAAAATGTTATTACCAGAAAGATCTGTTTAGGCATCTTAATCTCTAATCGTATCAGACAGATTGCATGTGTACTAAAGTATTCAAATTTATTTTCTCTATATCCCAGTTGTACCTATTGTTCTTTGCTAGGTAATTCCATTCAGAACCATTACTTTTCTATACAACAGAAGCACCTAGAATAAAAACCTTGATTGCTTTCCTGAATAATATTAAAAAATTTCTATTTACCACAAAATTCTGTAAGGACCTTAAAACAATACCGACATTCCTTCAAATTCTCAGAAATTCTAAAATGTAATTTACATAAATGTTAGGGTCCTAGAATAACCCTATTAGGGTTCCTTCATCCATTTTGTAGGGGCAGGGGAAATATAAACAATACTATTATTAGGAAAATAAGTGAATAGGAAATAATGTTTTTAAACTCTTATTTTATGTTAATAGTTGTTACACACATTAGGCTAAGGTGTTAATAATAAAAAAATATAAGAAACTCTTAGAACTCATTAGCAAAAAATCAAACCAATCAAAAATCTGGTGGGGGGTGTATTTCTAGGGAGAGGTAACTAAATGGTAATTGCTAATAAAACTTACTGATTTCTTTTCCTAGTCTTAGGAACTTTCTTCAAGCATTTAAAGTATGAAGAGAAAGTATTCTTTCTCCTCCTCATCAGAACCCCCAGCACAATCTACATAATCACAATAAATTTACATAAAATACAGTTATGAGCAGTTCTAATACATTTCCTAAATCTTGAAATACTTTATTCTATTGTTTCTACTATATTTTCAAATTATAAAAAAAATATGAGAATGAATTATCTTTGTTTTATACTTCAGTATTAGGTCATGGAATCTACATAATGGTTAAATGATTATTAGTTTCTTGTATTTCAAACACTCATTAAAAGCTTATATATTCTATTCACCTTGGAGAACAGGTGATCTATAGAAGCAGAGCAAAATAGTTTCTGTGTCCATAACTTTTAATGCTAATCTTTATTTTAGTTTACTTTGGTACCTAAGCAAACCTATATTCTAGCATAATTAAGCAGAGGAGAGACCATAGAGCACCTACACCACAGAACAAAGTAAGGTGATGGCTCTACTCTGGTTGTCACTTCCCATATGTCTGTGAGACACATTATCATACATGCCTGTCATTGCACAGTAACTTTGAACATCCAGCTAAAATTCCAGAGTCTGTCCAGAAAGAATATGTCCACTTTTTTTTTTTTTTTTTTTACTGAGTCTCGCTCTGTCACCCAGGCTGGAGTGCAGTGGCATGATCTTGGCCCACTGCAAGCTCCGCCTCCTGGGTTCACACCATTCTCCTGCCTCAGCCTCCTGAGTAGCTGGGACTACAGGCGCCAGCCACCACGCCTGGCTAATTTTTTGTATTTTTAGTAGACACGGGGTTTCACCATGTTAGCCAGGATGGTCTCGATCTCCTGACCTCGTGATCTGCCCATCTCGGCCTCCCAAAGTGCTGGGATTACAGGCGTGAGCCACCGCGCCTGGCCATGAATGTTCTTAATGACATCTAGCATGATGAATCCTTTTCAGAAGGTTTTTGATTGACTTTGTCTAGATCTACCAGAGAAATCACTGCCTATGACAGCTGCAGCCTTATGAAATGTATTTCTTAAATAATAATACTTGAAAGTCAAAATTACTCCTTGATCCATGGGCTTCAGAAGGGAAGTTACGTTAGCAGGCATGAGAACATTAATATTCTTGTACATCTCCATCAGAGCTCTTGGGTGACCAGGCCCCTCGTCAATAATATTTTTAATTTTTTTTCTGCTCAGTAAGTCTGAAAAACGGACTTAACATATTCAGTAAGCAAACTGTAAACAAATGTGCTGTCATCCACGCTTTGTTCCATTCACAGAGCACAAGCAAAGTAGATTTAACATAATTCTTAAGGGCCTTACGATTTTTGGAATGGTAAATTAGCATTGGCTTCAACTAAAAGTCACTAGCTGCATCAGCCCCTAGCAAGAGGCAACTTGTCCTTTGAAGCTTTGAAGCCAGGCACTGAATTCTCTCTATCTGTGAATGTCCTAGGTGGCATCTTCTAAGAAAAAGGCTATTTTATCTACATTGCAAATCTGTTATTTGGTTAATCAATTATGTTAGCTAGATCTTCTAGATAACTTTCTGCAACTTCTACATCAGCACTTGCTCCTTCACCTTGTACTTTTATGTTATGGAAATGGCTTTTTTAAAAAATTAAACATTATGAAGCAACCACTGCTGGCTTCAGATTTTTCTTCTGCAGCTTCCTCACCTCTTTCAGCCTTCACAGAATTGAAGACAGAGAGTCAGGGTCTTGCTCTGGATTAGAGTTTTGGCTAAAGAGAATGTCATACCTGGTTTGATCTTCTATCCAGATCACTAAAACTTTCTTCCTAGGAGCAATGAGGCTGCTTCTGTTTCTTACTATTTACACGTTCACTGGAGAACCACTTTTAATTTTCTTCAAATATTTTTTTTTATTTGCATTCAAAACCTGGCTATTTGGTGCAAGAGGCCCAGATTTCAGCCTGTCTTGACTTTCCATATGCCTTCTTCAATAGGCTTAGTCATTTCTAGCTTTTGAGTTAAAGTGAGACACATGTAACTCTTTCTTTCACCTAAAAACTTAGATATCAATATAGGGTTATTAATTGGCTTAATTTTAATATTTTTATGTCTCACCAAATAGAGAGATTTGAGGAGAGGAGAGAGCTAAAGAAGAGCGAGTTTGTGGAGTAGTCAGAACACACATTTACTGATTGTTTGCCATCTTATATGGGTGTGGCTTATGGCCCACTCAAAACAATTACAATAGTAGCATCAAAGATCACTAATCATAGATCACTGTAACAGATTTAATGACAATGAACAAATTTAAAATATAGTGAAAATTACCAAAAAGTGACCCAGAAACACAAAATGAGCACCTACTGTGGCAAAAATGGTGTCAATAAAATTGGTCAAAACAGGGTTACTAAATACTTCGCTATCTTGAAGTGTAATATGATGAAGTTTGACTGTACTTAAAACTGATCGAGAGAGTAGAATTTATGTTAAATGTTCTTCACATACACACAAGTAATAATAAAGGAGGCAGTAGAAAAATTTGGGAAGTGATGGATGTGGTTATGTCCCTGATGGTAGTGATGGGTTCACAGGTGCATACTTATTCTCAAGCTTATTGAGTTGTAAACATTAAGTATGTACAACTGTTTACATGTCAATCATATTTAAATAAGACAATTTTAACAACAAGAAAGAAATACTCCCCTGAGAATTTCAGGACCTCAGAGGGAATGGCTCCATGATGCACACAGGGAGCTTAATCGTGTCATTCATTCAGTTTTTCAGTTTTGTCAAAGCTTCTCACATTACGAGGCAAGTATGAAAGCCACAAAATCACCGGTGATAAAGGAATTAGGTTAACTGCAAATAAGAAAATTTAGTAGTGAATACGGAAGACTTAAGATTAAAGGATTTAGTCTCTTTCCTCCCATACTGTGCTATCTGCTAAGATTTACTTCTTTGTCTGAGGACAGAGTAGACATCTAAAAATGACCTCATTTGAATTATCTTCTAGTGAAATGAGATGGAAACCGAGGTGACATTCAAGCAGAAACAAAATGAACAAATGTGATAAACCTAAGTTTACAGCATAAGACTAATATCTGCTATAAAATTACATTTTAAAGATTTACTTATTTTATAGAAATAAGTCTATAATTTTTTTGAACCTTACTGGTAGTGCCTACAGAACCATGGGGTGATTTCATAAATATGACATGTGTAGGTGACAAAAGACAAAAGGCACCAGGCCCAATCTAAAATGCCTTTTAATTTCACATCTGGCCAAACCACATAATTGCTACAATTATGTAAATGAAAGTCTATATTTGGCAAACTTCCATATAAATTTTATTGGTTATAGAAATAGTAAATAATGATTTACTGTCAATTTTCAATTTTTTTTCTAATGGTAAAGAGCATTCTTAACTATTGATATTTTTGAAAGTTATCTTCACAGAATGGTCCATGAAAAGCAGTTCTGATTGCTTTTCAAAGTATCTGCAGTTATTTTACAGTAAAAGACATTTTTCATCTCATGAGATCAAACAGCATGGAAATAACTTAGGATATTTGTGAAAAGTAAGAGTGTTATAAATTCATTGATTTAAATATCCAAAGTTCTGGAGAAGTTACTTGATTTTTTTGTTTATTTTATTGGAAATACTATCACATTACATAAGGGTTAGAATATTTAGAATTGTTACAAAAAGTGTCAGAAAATAATTGATAATCTTAACTTAAAAGGAACAAAGCACAATACCAAATTAATAAGGGGGAAATGATACCAAAGTACTGCTCTTCTGTAGATGAAATACAAGTGGCTATCAAACTTTAGTGATTGTTACATTACTCTAAAATAGAGAATACTATCATATCATTTTCTATTTCTAGAATAATTCTATAATGCATAGATGACTCTTTGTAAAATTTGGTATACATTCTCTACATTCATGTCTTTACATGACATTAAAATATTGATGAAATATGTGGCTTAATTGGCAATCTTGGCCTAAATTAAGCTATTACGAAGAATCTTATGTTTCTAATATTTAAAAAAAGCATATTTTGCCATTCAATGAGCTTTAGAAACAACACAGTTTTTAAGCAAATCACCTAGTAGCATTATTGAATCAATTCTAGTTGGTAAAGAAATCAGAAAATGGGTCGTAAACCACTGGGGCTCCACACCACTAATCTATAAATTCAATTTTCCAGTTAAAAGAGACTTAAATCCCAAGTTGGGTAAGACTTGGAGTGAGAAACAGATGCTGCTTGTTTTGTGCTTCTAAGCCAATACGGAATCTCTGGAGGCTGTATTCAAGAGACCCAATCAAGGCATCTTATCACCTGCCCAATATTGGGTTATTCTAGACATTTTCTAAGACTCCTCTCACATGTTCCTAGCCAATATAGTAACTATAGTACAGTTTCAATGTCTATACGCAACCAGTATCAGAATTTACGGAAGTAGACTAAAAGTTAAACAATCTGGCATTTATATTAACAAAATTAGTTATTAAAACTTTAATTTAGTAAAACTTGAACTAAAAACATGTATGTGTACCAAAATGCATGCACATTATATATGCAGATTAAAAGTAATGCTAGTTTTAGAGTGTATACACTGAAAAAACAGTTCCCTTTTAAGAAGAAATAAAATATGATTGAGAAATTTTTATCTCAGGTACATTTATTTTAAATTTAAAAAGTAGAGAAAAAATCACTTTAATTATGCGAATTGCTAAAAAAATAATATTTGACAAAAATTGCACACTAAAAGCTCTTAAACATTATTTCCAGATATACTGGAAAGATTTTTCTTCTCAGTATTGCCAAATTATTTGAAATAGATGTTTGTTATTAAAAACTCTGGAACAGTTATGAAAAAATTTCTATGTATATTTTCTTACTTCTCTAAAACTCTCATAAGCAGCATGAGGGGAAACAGTGTGTCATGCACCCTACAGCCCTCGTTTGTCCTAATGGGAAGACAGAGTGCGCTCATCATATTTGATAACATTTTCACACAATTTCAAAAAGAAAACTGTTTCATTTTTTTCTTTGAAACATTTCTAAAAATACTTCAATTTAGTTTTCCTAAAAAATTCTGAAAAAACTCTCTAAGCATCACAATGACTGTTCTGAGATATGTATAATAAAAATACATGTTATTAATAAGATGTTAAGAAAACCAGGATTTTAAAAGTCAGTACATAAATGTCAATATACAAAATGGCAGTCATTTATGGGCTTAGTAGGTGAATAGTGAATTAAAATGTGCAAAATAAAAAATGCAGTTTATTTTGTTAATGAATATTTAACTATTTTATTAAAGTGAAATTTATATAACAAAATTTAGCCATTTTGAGTTGTAAAATTCAGTGGCATTTAGTATATCATAATATTGTATAACCATCACCTCTATCAAGGTTCCAAAATATTTTCATAACCTTCCAAAAATAGACTTTACTCATTAAACAGTTACTTAAGCGACAATATTTTAAAACTTGTTAGCCACTGTAATCCAGAAAAATGGTACCACTATGTATAAAAATAAGCAGTTACTTAAGCAATAATATTTTAAAACTTATTAGCCACTGTAATCCAGAAAAATGGTACCCCTATGTCCAAAAATCCAGAAGGGGAAAATTTCTTATGGTTTTTGAAATCTTATAAAGGTTCTCCATTGGCAAGCATTATAGCTTTTGTTTTGTTTTGTTTATCTGGAATAAAATTTGAAAGCAGCTCTAAGTGTAGAGAAGAATCAAATCTGATTCCCTTGAATAAAGTAGAGGGATATATGTTATACATTTGATCTCATTCCATTTCATTGCAAGCATCACACATATCCTTAGGAAGTCCTTGAGTAGTAGCCTCCAAAGGCTAGAGTGTACCTTAGGGAATGCAGAACAGGCACTGCTGGGATATAAGAAGAAAACATTGAAAGTTTTATTTCTCATACTTTAAATTTTTTATTTGAAGTATTGCTGTGGTTTGACTAGCAATACCCCAAATAAAAATTTAGAAGTATGAGAAATAAAAGTTGAATATTGTTACAAGGGCAATTAAATTTCAGCATGAGTTTCAACCAAAACTCGTGTTGAAATTTAATTGCCCTTGTAACAATATTAAGAGGTGGGACTATTAAGCGATGTTTAGGCCATAAGGGTTCCATCCTCATAAGTGGATTAATTAATACTATTGTCAAGGTTCATTATCTCAAGAATGAGTTCCTTATGAAAAGAAGAGTTTGTCACCCCTACTTTGCCTTCTCTTTGCCCTTCACCATGAGATAATGTAGCAGGAAGACCCTTGCCAGATGCTAGCCCCTTGATATTGGACTTCCTAGCCTCCAGAACCATGAGCCAATACATATATGTTCATTAAAAAAATAACGCATCTGTGGTAGTCGGTTACAGCGTCATAAATAGACTAAGGTTTGATTTTTAAACATTTACAATATAACACTACAGTAACACATTTATGTGTTTTTTAAACCAAAACAAGTCATAGGAGAACATGAATAAAGAATTTAGGAATCACTGGATGTCTAGTATCCATCATGTTGTTTCATGTTGATACCTCTTAAGCATTTTGAATTGGCTCCACCACAAGGTCTATTTTTAGCAATTTCCATACAGACTGTATATAGGCTGATGTGCTTTTGTGGAGGATAAAGCAACTTTGTCAGTTCATCCATCACTAATAATCCTGATACTCAAAATCCTCCTGTAGGTTGTCCAATGCCCTTTGGCATAGTCATAAATATACATGCAATTTTATGATTATAAGAATTTGGAAAACTTAATCATTTCAATTTGCTATGGCTGATTAATTCTGCTATGGTCTATGGTACTGGAAACAGAAGAGTACTCAGATTTCTGGCTGCTAAGAGCTTTCCTGCCTGGAGCTGTCTTCCTCAAAGCAACAGCTTGGGGAATACAAATTTTCTACCACTACAACCACTCTGCAGGCCACCCATCTGTAACTATTCTCTGGGTAGAACAACAGTTAGAGTAACATACTTTTAAGTTAGTTTTTGTGAGTGTAAACTTATAACTGGATGATGAAAAGCAAGTAAAACTACTTTGTAATTTTTGGTAAGGATCAATGGGTTATATCATCTAGGTCCAGAGTAATTTTTAACTACCGTTAATTTCCAGAGAAGGCTTTCCCATAGTCATTCCATTAGTCCAATGCTTATTTGAAATCTTTTCTCTTCTCTGCATTTTTCTTTCTGGTAACCCTTATGTTGGCGTCATTTTTGACCTTGTAGTTCTGTAATCCCAGAATCTTTTTGGTTTGTTTTTGTTTTGAGATGGAGTCTGACTCTGTAGCCCAGGCTGGAATGCAGTGGAGCAATCTCCACTCACTGCAACCTCCGCCTCCCCGGTCCTGGTTCAAGCAATTCTCCTACCTCAGACTCCAGAGTAGCTGGGATTACAGGCACGCATCACCATGCCCAGCTAATTTTTGTATTTTGGTAGAGACCAGGTTTCACCATGTTGGCCAGGCTGGTCTTGAACTCCTGACCTCAAGATCTGCCTGCCTCAGGCTCCCAAAGTGCTGTGATTATAGGCGTGAGCCACCATGCCCAGCCCTAGAATCACTTAATAGCGCCTTCATTTCTCTCTCTGATCTGTTTGAGCCATTAGTGTACCTAGGGGAAAGACATAGCACATTCAGGGATTTACATTGAAAATTCTGGTTCTTTATACTTGTGCTTTAGGGTTTGTGCACAGAATTAGAATGACCTTCTTTATCTTTTACAAAGTCTCTCAAAAAAGGAATACATGATTGGGAGTGGGATAATTGCATTTGTCACTTAAATTAAAATTCTGTTTTTATGTCTGCTGATGAACATACACTTTGTCAGTTGTTGGTTACTTCTCTTTGATGTTTTTCACATATTTATTTCCAATATCTGTCATTTATACCAACCAAGGTAGTCCCAAATAAATGTCATCAAGAATACAGTACTGCTAAGAGTGTGGAGAACATAGATTTCTACAAACTAACTATTGGATTAGCAGTGAAATTGTACTGTGTGATACCTACAAAGCCAAGAACATTATTCAGGGTAACTTTTGTTCTTGTGCTACATATTTAAAGACATGTGATTCACCAGGAAATACAATAAATGTAATAATAAACACACATCAACACATTTCAAATATGCTGGCATTCCAGCTACTCTAAGTAGGAAAGTTATAGAGCAGCGCTCCCCAACATTTTTTGGCACCAGCGACCAGCTTCATGGAATACAATTTTTCCACAGACAGGGTGAGGAGGAACGGTTTCATTACACCTCAGATTGGGCATTAGATTCTCATAAGGAGCTGCAACCTGCATCTCTTGCGTGCACAGTTCACAATAGGGTTTGCACTCCTGTGAGAATCTAAGGCATTAGCATTAATTGGCATTTATAGCTCAGTATCATCTACATTCCAAACACTTAACCTAAAGAAAGTTCAATTTGCTTTTTCAAAATAACTCATCTATCATTGTGTTCCCAGAAGGAAGGGTATCTGTGGATGCTATGGAGCTAGAGAAGACAGTGATTGAGAAAACACAGTGGAATCTGAAGCTTCTATATATTGTAATTAACCAAGTGGGCTTGGGAAGAGGAGATCAAAGTCTAAAAGAGCAAAAGAATGATAGCATGTATAATGTCACATACTATTTAAAATTTTTTAATTTTTTATTGTTTTATGAGACGGAGTCTCACTCTGTTGCCCAGGCTGGAGTGCAGTGGCATGATCTCGGCTCACTGCAACCTCCACCTCCCAGGTTCAAGCAATTCCCCTGCCCCAGCCTCCCGAGTAGCTGGGATTACAGGGTTGTACCACAATGCCCAGCTAATTTTTGTATTTTTAGTAGAAACGGGGTTTCACCATGTTGGCCAGGCTGGTCTCGAACTCCTGACCTCAGGTGATCCACCCGCCTTGGCCTCCCAAAGTGCTGGGATGACAGGCGTGAGCCACCATGCCTGGCCTAATGCCACATATTTAACTTTGCTCCAAAGATTCAGGTTTGGAACCATTTAGAAAATTGTAATTTCATAATTTAAAAAATATGGTATACAAGAGATTTTATGGGCAAGTATATTAAACCCTAGTTCTTATCAAAATGAAAATGAGATATACAATTACATTAATAAAAATTGTAACAGACTATTGATGTAGATTATACCTTTTGTACACCATTTGATCACCTAGCTCTATGCTTTCTATAAAATCTGATTTATTTAAGACCTTGTTACAACACTCAGAATTTTTTAAAAGCCTATGCCTTCTAATATCAAAGAACATGGACTTTAGAACTACTTAGATTGTTTTGTTGAGTCAGATTAGGGCCCACTTGTTTAAGGCATAGCTAAGCAAGAAATGGTTAATTACTTACATTTGAAAATTTATCACATGTCAAATACTGCAAAGTATAGGTCACATACTTGGGTTCTTAGTATTCATAAAACCATATGAACTTCTTCTGCTGCTTCTACAGGTTGAATAATTCAACGACTATTCTAAAAAAAAACATTTTAGCAAGTCTTGCTAAATTAGAAAATAGAAATCTTTAAAACAGACTGCAGAAATTTGATTCTGTTGAACAGATACCATCAAAAACTAAAGCAGATTTGAACAACTTGGACTAGAAACTATGAACAGGAATCGATAGCCCAGGTTGTCTACTCTGGAGTCCACAGTCACAATCACTGTGCCATTGTGTCTTTTTTTCATACATATTTTGATTTTTAATATTTGAGTAACTGCTGGCATTTAGGAAGTTAGAGGCTAGTACGTAATATATAATAGCAAATATTTTAATATTGCTAATAATAGAATGCCTTATAGTAATTCATTACTTATATCTTTTAATATTATTAGAAGTATTATAATTTCTAATAGATTATTAGAGTTGTGTTTCATTACAAAATTTTATTTTGTCATTTGGGATTAATTTGACTACAGAATATAAGCAATTCATCTTTGCTTGGTTTATTTTGGAAAACTCCACTTTTTGTGAACATAATATCTCTTACAAAAAGGTTCCAAAGTAATTTAATACTTTATTATCTAGTTATTTTTAAAGCTATATTTTGGGAATATTTTGCTGAAAGCTAAAATTATAATAAAATAGAGAGCAAAAGAAGTACTTTAGGTCAGCTTCTCTGTTACCCAGGTGTCAAATGATAAATTCCTAGATTCTTCTATTGGACATAGATCTAAGGAGTAATAGGATTAGTTAGACTGAGAATAAAGAATAAATGAAAAAAGATAAAACCATGGCTTTGAGTTTAGAGCACTGAGAGTAGTAATTTTACAGCAAATAAGAGGGAAAGTAAAAAAAAAAAAGCTTTCTTTTTCTGAAATATTACAGAGAAGCTAAATGGTAAATAATTTTTTTTTACTATAATATGTCATCCAAAGAAAACTACTTTAGAAAAAAAAGAAAAGATAAGAGCTAAGGTTATACATTTGAATGTGATCTGCATAAAGCTGGATGGATCAGCTTAAAATTACAATTTTAAATAAGGCATAGCAGCATAAGAAGAATTTCTAGGTTATTTAAATTTACATTTTAGGGTTCTTTTCTTCTACGATGTTGGATTGGAGGCTTTTAGAGCATCTCATCCACTTGGAAATAGCAAGATAATGCATAGAGACTAACACTGTGAGAGTATATAGAAGGTATATGGGAATTCACTGAAAAGCAAAGGACACTTCAGATTTTAGACAAGAGAAGGTGGGTGATCAGCATGCATGGAGGCATTCGGCTGAGAAAAGTAGGAGCCCCAGTACATGAGAGGGGCAGAGTCCCCCTGAGCTGCCCCTCCCTTCCCATGCCAAGAACTTGGTGCAGCAGCACTGTCTCTGCTCCACATTCTGACAAATTTCGAGGCACTTGGAGCACCTATTCTTCTAGATTAGGAGTTTAGGCCCCTCCTTTGCTGTGTAGAGAACTTGATGCAGTGGCAGTTTTCATGCTACAAGCCTGGGCATATCTCCTGGCTTTTGGTACACCTGCCAACCTGGATTAGGAGCTTGAGTTGCCCCTCCCTTCCCATGCAAAGACCTTGTTGCAGCAGTAGTTTCTCCACTCCTTGCCTGGGCAGAGTTTTTCCAGGCATATGGCACATTTGCTCCCCTGGTTTTGGAGCTTAAGCTGCCCCACCCCTCCCACGCAGAGGAGTTGGTGGAGCAGTGCTCTTTCCACTCCACACTTAGATATCTCTCCAGGCATTTGAAGCAACTATACTTCCCGGTTAGGAGTCCACGTCACCCCTTTCTTCCAATGCAGAGAACTTGGAGGAGTGGAGGTTTCTCCACTCCACACCCGGGCACAAGTCTGGGTGTTGAATGGCTGCCCCCGGACTCCTCATTGGAGCTGGTGCTTGCACCTGCCTTTGAGATACCTGTAGGTGGACCTGCCTGGTCCAGCTCCAGGCAGCTTTGTCCCCCACTCTGGGGCTGAGCACAGAGACAAGGCCACAGGGCATAGCACAGACTAGCCCATTGCCTGAGGAAACTGAGTTTCTCATGGTTAACAAAGATCATTCATATACCCATCTCTTTCAGCCACTGTTGGCTCCTATCTGTAAACACCACCTATTTGTCTGGAGGTGGAACTGCACAACCTAATAGAAAATCTGCTGACAAGAGTGCTCAGACTTGAGGAACAACATAAACTTGCCAAGACCTCTGCTATCACAGCCCCATATGTGGCAGCAAGTCTGCTCACACTCCCAGGACATCACTACTACAACCAGGATTTGAGAAAGCCACCACACAAGGCTATCTGTAACCAATGAACTTATACTGAATCCTTGCCATTTAAAGCACCCAGAACCAAAGCCAAAGAACCCTGCACAACATACATTATAATCACATCCTCAAGGATGTGACTCATTAAGAAAAAAATTAAAAATAAGAATAGACAGTTTCTCCAGATGAGAAGAAACAGATAAACAATTCTGGAACTATGAAAACAACCAACCAAACAAACAAACAAACAAACAAACCGTGTTACAAGCCCTCAAAGGTTACTCTAACTCTTCAGCAATGGATCCTAACCAAAATTAAATTTTTGAAATACCAGATAAATAATTCAAAATGTGATTTAAAAAAAACTCAGTGAGATCCAAGAGAAAGTTAAAGCTAACACAAATAAATCAGAAAGAGAATGACTCAGGATATGAATTAAAAATCCACTGAAAAGACAGCTTTTTAAAAAATAAACAAACATAACTTTTAGAGGAAAAAATTATTGAAGGAATTACAAAATATAGTTGAAAGCCTTAACAACAGACTAGACCAAGCAGAAGAAAGAATTTCAGAGCTTGAAGACAGATATTTTGAATTAAACCAGTCAGACAAAAATAAAGAAGAATATTAAAATATAAACACTGCATTCAAAAAATATGTGATTATGTAAAGTGTCCAATCTTATGAGTCATAGGTATTGCTGAGGGAGAAGAAGAGTAAAAAGGTTGGACTATCTATTTGAGGGAATGATTGAGGAAAACTACCTTAGTCTTGCTAAAGATTTAAATATCCAGATACAAGAAGCTCAGAGAACTCCAGGAAGATACATTGCAAGATGGATTTCACCAAGACATATAGTTACTAGGCAATCTAAAGTCAACATGAAGGAAAAAAAATACTAAAAGCAGCAAGAGTAAAGTGTTTAATCACCTCTAAAGGACATCTCATCAGATGAAGTGGATTTCTCAATTGATACCTCAGAATACAGAGATCATCAAAGACTACTAGAACAGCTGCATACTCACAAACTTAAAAACCTAGAGAAAATGGATACATTCCTGGAAACATACAACCCTATAAACCAGAAGAGACTGTGGCCCTATGTTCAGTCTTAAAGGGAAAAAAACTATCAGACATGCATTTTGTATACTGCTAAACAAGGCTTAATACATGAAGGAGAAATAGTCTTTTTCAGCCAAACAAATGCTAAGGAAATTCATCACTATTAGACTGGTCCTACAAGAAATCCTCAAAGGAGTTCAAACATGGAGATAAAAGGGTGATGCTTGCCATCAGAAAAACACACAGAAGTATAACTCACAGGTCTTATAAAATAAGTATACAATTGAGACTGCAAAGCGACCAGGTAAAAACACTATGACAGGAACAGACTCACATATCAATATTAACCTTGAACATGTACCAAGTGTTCACTTAAAAGATAGAGATTGGTGTAATGGAAAACAGCAACAACAACAACAAACCCAAAAAACAAAAACAGGGTTCAGCCAAATGCTGCTTTCAAGAAACACACTTAGCTGATAAAGACATTTTCAGACTCAAGGTAAAGGGGTGGAAAAAGATATGCCAATGGAAACCAAAAGAGAACAAGAGTAGTTATACTTACATCAGATAGAATAGGCTTTATATCAAAAAACAGTAAAAAAAAAAAAGACAAAAGAGGTCATCAGATAATGATACAGGGTTCAATTCAATAAAAAGTAAAACAATTGTAAATATATATCCACCCATCACCAGAGCACCCAGATTCATACAAAAAATGCTACTAGATAAAAGAGATAGACAGCAATACAATACTACTGAAGTACTTCAGCACCACTAACAGCACTAGATAGATCATTGAAATAAAACAAAGAGACACTAAACTTAAAATGGACTCCATTGCAATGAACCTAATAGATGTCTACAGAACATGCTACCCAACAATCACAGAATATATATTCTTCTCTTGAGTGCATAAAACATTCCCCAAGAGACACCATATTTTAGGCCACAAAACAAGTCTCAATGAATTTGGAAAAATTAAAATCACATCAAATATATTTTTAACCTCAGTGGAATAAAACTAGAAATCAATTCCAAAAGGAACTCTGAAAGCTATACAAATACAAGGAAATTAAACAATCTATTCCTGAATGATCTTTGGGTACATGATGAAATTAATTTGGAAATTAAAACTCTTCTTGAAAAAATGAAAATGGAAACATAACATACTCAGGCTTCTGGGATACAGCAAAAACAGTGCCAAGAGGGTATTTTTATTGTGTTACATGCTTACATCAAAAAGATACAAAGTTCAAAAATTAACAACATATCATCACACCTGTATAAATGACACTACTATAAATGGCTATACATTCACAACCCAGAAAAATCTAAAGAAAATGAATAATTTCCTGAAAACATGCAACTTCCCAATATTGAACCAGGAAGAAACAGAAATCTTAAACAGACCAATAAAAAGGAGTGAAATAGAATTAGTAATTTAAACATCTCTCTGGAAAACCCAGGACCAGTCAGATTCACAGCTGATGCCACCAGACATACAAGGAGAATTTGGACTGATCCTACTGAAACTGTTCCAAAAAGTTGAATAGGAGGGATTCCTCCTAACTGGTACTATGAAGCCAGTATCAGCTTGATACTGTTGCCAGACAAGTACACAACAAAAAAAGAAAACTACAAACCAATATCACTGATTAATATAGATACAAAAATCTTCAATAAAATGCTAGTAAACCAATTTCAATAGAACATTATAAAGAATACACCAAAATTAAGTAGGTTTCATTCCAGTTACAGAAAGATGGTTCAACGTATGCAAATAATAAATGTGATTCACTACATAAACATTTGATAAAAAGCATCTGATGAAATTCAGAATCCCTTTATGATTAAAAACCCTCAACAACTAAGCTTGAAGTAAGCTATCTCAAAAGTATAAAAGCCATGTATCGCAAAGCCAACATCATACTGAATGGAGAAAAGTTAAAAACATTCCCCCTAAGATACTGGAGCAAGACAAGGATTCCCACTTTCATCAGTACTATTCAACACAATAATGGAAGTCTTTGCCAGATCAATCAGGCAAGAGAAAGAAATAAAAGATATCCAAACCGGAACCGAGGAAGTCAAATTAGCTCTGTTTACTGACAGTTGATCTTATACCTAGGAAACCCTAAAGATTACTCCCGAAGACTCCTAGATTTGATAAATGATATCAGTAAAGTTTCAGGATAAAAAATCAACATACAAAAGTCAGTAGCATTTCTATACATCAATAACAAACAAGTTGAGAACAAATAAAGACCTAAGTTCCATTCATAATACCTATAAAAACCTATGGAAAATGTTCTATGAATACATTTAACCAAGGAGGTGAAAGATCTCTACAAGACAAAGTACAAAACACTGATGAAAAGAATTATAGGTGACACAAGCAAATTGAAAAATACCTCATGCTCATGGATTGGAAGAAACCCCAAAGCAATCTATAGATTCAGTGTAATTCCTCTCAAAATACCATTATTGATTTTCAAGGAATTGAAAGTCCTGAAATTCTTATGGAACCAAAACAGAGTCTAAATAGCAAAAGCTATTCTAAACAAAAATAAGAAATCTTGAGAACATACATACACACACACACACACACACACACACACACACACACACACACACACACGGAATACTATCCAGCCAGAAAAATAAAAGAAATCATGTCTTTTGCAGCAGCATGGATGGAATGGGAGAGCATTATCCTAAGCAACATAATTCATAAACAGAATGTCAAATACTGCATGTTCTCACTTGTAAGTTTGAGCTAAATAATGTGTACACAGGGGCATAGAGAGTGGAATAATAGACACTGGGAACTCACAACAGTGGGAGGGTGAGGGGGGTGAGGGATGAGAAATTGCCTAATGGGCACAATATACACTATTCAGATGATTATTACACTCAAGGCCCAGACTTCACTACTGTATAATATGTCCATGTAATAAAGCTGCACTTGTAACCCTTAAATCTATAAAAAATGAAAGATAAATTTATAGTTCATTTATGTAAAATGCATTTTGTGAATCTATAAGTTAATACAAATTTTATAAAAGTACATTCAAACCCACATCAAAATAATCACTTACATTGAGACTTGTTCTATTTGAAATTCTTCTCTAGCAAATCATTAGCAAATTATTAAATATTTTTCTACTCCAAACAGATATGAGTATATTCTATCATAATCCATGCATACACTGACCCCCAAAATTCTTTAGGTATTCAACATTCCATATTTGTTATTTTATATGAAAATTTTGTTTCACAATTTGTTTTAAAGTCCAATTCCATATAGTTATTTTGAAACTTTTTGGATTTTATATTTACTTTATGGCAATGTTTAAAGTTTGCAGCAGTAGAAAAACTGAACTCCAAATGATTAAAACATTAACTTTCCATTTAATGTAAGTTTGTAGGCATCTACTCATTTTCAGTCTGAGACTTTTATTTGAATAAGGATCTTGCTTTTTTAAGCATTAGATGCACATAGAATATGAATGGGAATGGGACCATGGCAGAATTCAAGCCATAATGCCTTATAGCCTGGTTTCAGATACCTTAGATATAAGATTATTTCCTCAAATTTAAGGTGTGCTGATTTATCAAGCACATTTATGACATTTTTATAATCACATCTATAAGTTTTAAATAACCTTTCATGTTTTAAAGGACAAGGACAATTATATATCTCCAACTTGTCTTTAATTTTAGTTGAAAACAGAACCTTATTAAAATTGGAGCGTTATACATGTAAAACCACTACAGAGTGTCCTTTTACTCAGCACAGAATACATCTTAGATGAAGTTCACAATAAAATATTCTTACATGAACTTTTGTCTTGTTTTGAATCATAAGTGTAGAAATAAAGTCCTGAATATTTTCTCATGAAACAGATAATTTTAAAATAACAATAACAAATCAAAGTCAAAAAATTTTCTGAATTTAAAAATACAAAGCATCAGTGCTTTTTTTTTTTTTTTAACAGATGTGATACTCCCTGATGAAGTTTTCTAGGGAGAAAGAAAATTTTAATAGAGTCACTTTGGCCTTAGGCTCATTTATATCCCTTCTTTGAGACTTGGTAGATGGATCTTCACATATACGTACAGACCCCAAACTAATATCTGATTTATAAAATAAAAAATTCTTAGGGTGACATTGAAGGTGCTCTATTACCTGTCTTCAATATATTTTTCTATCCTTACCTCTTATTCACATTTCAACATTCGGTTTTCTAAGGAAGACATACTCTGTTATGACCTGATGTTTTTTGTCTGTAAGAAATGTGCTTCCTTATCATCTCCCCATAGAGGAATCCTTCTCCAACCTGAAAAGTTAGTCCTGTTGATTTCTCCCTGACTGTCTCAGGAAAATTGACTAATTTTCTTCACTGCTCCCACACGTCTTGTTCAGACTTCTATTATAACTCTTAGTGCACTGCCTTGGAATTATCTCTTACCATAACTTTCTTTATCAAAAGACTAAATATTTTGTGGCAAAAGACATGCATTTTTTTTTTATTTCCAGCATATTGAGGAGTGGCACATTAAATACACAAGTATGTTTTGACTGTGTGAGTGAATAGTAGAATACACATTTTGGTAGAAAAACTATGCTATCACGTCTTAATTTGTATCATTTAAAATGTATGCATCTGCTTAACCAATGGTTTTATCCCACTCCCCTAACTGACAGAATGAATATTATACCACTGTATCAATCAGTAAATAAGTGGGTTTTATGTCTTCTCACTCCACCTGTTCTGTTCCTTCTTTTACTGCACAGCTACATCTACAAAAGATTAATTTTTTTTCTTTTTTTCTTTGTGTGTGTGTGTGTGTGTGTGTGTGTGTGTGTGTGTGTGTGTTTTGTTTGTTTGTTTGAGACGGAGTCTCGCTCTGTCGCCCAGGCAGAAGTGCACTGGCGCGATCTCGGCTCACTGCAAGCTTCGCCTCCCGGCTTCACGCCGTTCTCCTGCCTCAGCCTCCTGAGTAGCTGGGACTACAGGCGCCCGCCTAAGTTTTTTTGTATTTTTAGTAGAGACGGGGTTTCACCGTGTTAGTCAGGATGGTCTTGATCGCCTGACCTCCTGATCTGCCCGCCTCGGCCTCCCAAAGTGCTGGGATTACAGGCGTGAGCCACTGTGCCCGGCCCAAAAGATTAATTTCTTAACACGTCAAACACAGACATGTCTCATCTAGTACGCACGAGTTATTTGTTGAGTGTCAGTCTTGTGCTTTGTTCTTTGCTCCAACAGTTCATTGATAGGGATCCTGGGAAAAACCCCTTTGGAAGCCTGGACATTCTCCCATTTACCTCACTAGCCACTATACTCTCCTCTAAATAAGTTAAAACTTCTGTGTCTTGGATTAAAAGCAGACTAATACAACTTGATTACAATGTAGGGGCAAATGACAACATCAAAATATAAGAGGATTATTGGATTTTGTCAATAAAATTGAAATTTATCACTACTGGGGTACTACTGCTTGGATAGCCTGGAACTTGGGTGTTTGGTTTTTTTTGATTAGAGACATGACTAGACTCAACTCTACAAAGGAAAGAGTTTACGACAATCCTCTCTCAGTGGCAAACTGAGGAAACAGAACTTGCACCCAGTCCATGCTACAATTATTGTGCCTATAGAAATCCACCAGTGGAATTACTTTTCTCCCTCTAATTAAGGACACAAACCCAGTTTTATCATTCCCTCCACTGCAGTTTGGAGTGAGAAAAAGTCAGTACACACTACATCTCTTTTGACAACAGATTTCTTTTCTTTCATCAACACCCAGCTAGGAGAATAATGGGAGATGGAGCTAAAGTCTATTTTTGTTTTATTAAATAAAGAGTCTACCCTTTGGGCAAAGAGTAATCAATTTGGATGGGGAGAAAAGATAAAACTCTATCACCAATGATAGTAGAAAATTAGTCTTGGCCGGGCGCAGTGGCTCACGCCTGTAATCCCAGCACTTTGGAAGGCCGAGGTCGGCGGATCACTAGGTCAGGAGATAGAGACCATCCTGGCTAACACGGTGAAACCCGGTCTCTACTAAAAATACAAAAAAATTAACCAGACGTGATGGCGGGCGCCTGTAGTCCCAGCTACTCGGGAGGCTGAGGCAGGAGAATGGCGTGAACCCGGGAGGCGAAGCTTGCAGTGAGAAGAGATCACTCCACTGCACTCCAACCTGGGCGACAGAGCGAGACTCCATCTCAAAAAAGAAAAGAAAAGAAAAGAAAAAAAATTAGTCTGAAGTTGTAATGAGACAACGGGTAGCTATCAAGAGATACAGGATTTGGGGCTAGGTGATACTTGTTTCAAGCGAGACATTCCTTTGGACTCATCACTAATTATTGTAGTGTGAAATCAGCTCATGGATTTAGTGACATGATACACTACTTATCACCACTTCTCTTAGTCTATTTGTACAAAGTCCAATTAATAACTTATTTTTAGGTATTTGTAAATATAGTTTTATGTACATAATTTTACTTGAAAGTAATTCTGTAGTAAATTTGCCTACTGTTCTAATGAAAATAATGTGTCTATATAAAACAAATTGTATAAGCAAAATCATCCTATTTTTAGGCAAATATAACTAATAATTTAATTACACTTATGCTCTTAGTTCAACATGTAATCAGTTGTACAGTAAGTGCAGAATTAACACTGAGAGGTTAAAAATAACTAGAAGTTCTACATATATTTCATAGATATAGATAAAAATATATTTAAAATCAAAATAAAGGAGGATTTAATCATCTAATAATCCACAAATGATTGCAGGAATTCACTCTTTCTGAATTATTTTTAAGAACAATCAAGAGAAAATATTAACAATTAGCAAAGAGTAAAACCTTCAAAAAATTTTGAAAATAAAAACTAACAGTTCACTTTATAAAATGAATAGTGTCTAACAGGACAACATATTACTGCTTATTACTACCATGGATAACACCTGTATGTATTAATGCTATAAAAATGGTCAAAAATGTCTCATTACAATATTTAAACCTTTGTACAATATTTGAGGCAAAAAAATGTTTTCAGCACAGAAATGCACTATACATTTTGTGGGATTTACCTTTGCCATACTAATCCTACATTTCTGTACTGTCATTAAAGGTACCAATTATGTTTTTAAAATATATTTTACACTTGTTGGAATGCTGAGTACAAACTTTCTAAACAAGGATAATTTGATGCAGGCCACAGTGCCCTCTGTCTTCTCACCCCAAATAGTTGTATAGTTTTTTGATCTTTCCCCCATCAGCATCTGTACTTTTCCACTCTCCTTTACAGCTTCTGCATGCCATAAAGCTTCTCCTCTCTTTGACACTCTAGGCTGGTGAGGATTTTCAGATATTATCTTGTATATAGAGTGACCAGCTATCCAGGTTTGACTAATATGTTCCCGGTTTTAGCTCTATAAGTTCTGTGTCCCAGAAACCCCTCAGTCCTAGACACCCCAGGAGGGTTGGTCATCCTGTTGATACTTTCTACATCATAGCTTCTGATGTAACGCTGCCATAGAGTAAAAATGGCATCAAGCTAGGTTAAGGCAGAAAGAGAGAGAGTGAGTCCGAAGAAGTCTGCTTCTACCCAGTCCCCTTTTCTTCAGGTTGCTATGAGAAATGACATGAGCCAAGATACTTATCATGGCCATGGCAAAGAAAGCTGATAACTGAGGGCCAATGTGCCCTCCCAGAAGACCTATAAACACAAGCTGTTGTGCAGGACAGTCCTGAATATTCATCAGTGGATCAACAATGTCTTTAATTGCAGCTTGTCAGTTGGAAGTGATGAGCAGGTCCAGTGCAAAGTGCATTCATAAGGCCAAGAGAGAGGGCTGACATTCAGCCAGCCATGGATGCTTCGGTGGGAACCCTACAAAGTCAGAGGCTGACTCAGAGAACTGGTAAGATGAGACATACTGAAAGAGGCTGGTGGTACCAGTGAGGAATTGAGGACACTTTAGAACCTAGCCATTGTCTCCAACTCTTTGATGTAACTTTCTGGGAGAAGGAGTAGGAAGGAAGTAGGAGAAGCATGTTTTTTGATAACTTTTACTAAAAAAATTGCTTTAAATGACAAAGAAGTGACTGAACATTTTTCTGTCACATTTTTCTACCATCAGTGGATTTGGGGGTTTCGTAACTCTACTTGAATTCAGTTAGAACTATCTGCACAAGTGGGTTGAGACCTAACAACTTAAAGCCATTGCAATATTCTCCAGGAAATTGGAAACTCAAGGCTCAGGAGAGATTTATGTGGAGCAGTGAGGGATTAAAAGACACTTACCTTCTCAATCAAGTTTAGAAAATCAGACTGTTTGAAGATCAATCCTGAATCCTGATTATCACTTAGAATTTACTTATAACTTTTCCTTCCCTGAGAAACTGAGTCAGTTTCTCTGCATTTGATTTACCATCTGTAAACAATGGATAAGACCTACGTCCTCACAAGCTTTTTGTGAAGATTAGCAGAGACAATGTATATTTGAAGTATACATTAAGTGCTCAGCAAAAATGGTATTAATGTTGAATGATTAGTATTATTTTATTTATTTATTTTTGAGATGGAGTCTCACTCTGTGGCCAGGCTGGAATGCAACCTCTGCTTCCTGGGTTTAAGCAATTCTCCTGCCTCAGCCTCCCGAGCAGCTGGGACTACTGGCGCATGCCACCATGCCCAGCTAATTTTTGTATTTTTAGTAGAGATGGGGTTTCACCATGTTGGCCAGGATGGTTTCTATCTACTGACCTAGTGATCGGCCCACCTCGGCCTCCCAAAGTGCTGGGATTACAGGCGTGAGCCACCACACCTGGCTGATTAGTATTAAATTCTTCGAGGACTAAAGAACAAATAGAAAAGGTAAGCACAGATAGGACATAATATATAGATGTATAAAATATCACTTTCCCCATGTATAATATGATTTATAGATAACATATGAACACATAAAAATTACCTTTTGGGGGAGAAAAGGAGAAATATTGGTTAAGAGTATAAAGTTTCAATTCGATAGGAGAAAATATTCTTGGTGATCTGCACAGCAAAGTGACTATACTTAATAATAATGAATGAATGATATATTGTATATTTCAAAATTGTTAAAACAGTGGATTTTAAATGTTCTTACCACAAAGAAATGATAAGTATGTGAAGTGTTATACATGTTAATTAGCTGATTTGATCATTCCACAATTTATACATGTAACTAAACATATTGTACTCCATAGACCATATAAAATTAGTAGCCAATTAAAAATTAAAATATAATTTTAAAAATGACTTTGTAATGGTTGTCATTTGTAATGGTTGTCATGATTGACTGCTGAAAAAAAGTAATGAACAACCTCACTTAACAAGTTGCAGAAGGCAAAAGCTAACTACTATATTTTTCTGCACTATTCACTCATTAGGGACTCAATTCACTCATTACCTGCACAGCCGTCTGCTAGAGTATGATCTTAAATCATGGAGTCCCTGAAAACCCAACTTGGAGCAAATATCAGTTGCTTGTTATGTTTCTCTGAAGAGCAACATGAGAGTGATGTAACAGGAAATTGGGGCTTATTCCTCTGCCTCTGTTGACAGTAAGAAATGATTAAATTCTACAAAAAATTCATCTTTTCTTTTTTTCTGTTGTATTTCTTGCTTTCTCCACACAGAGAAGAGCGCACATATGCAGATGGTTCCAAAACTATTTATGATGTATTTTTACATCATGTTGGAGAATGTAAACACACACACATGCACACACACACACACACTCACAACCATGGTGCTCACCCCTCATAGATAGGAAAGTGTTTAAAATTTATTTGGTATTTGGGTCTTTTTCTTTGCAATACTGATTATCCTGTTTTATACACCACTATGTTATTGTCTTGAAAGAAAACAAGCATTTATAGTGTATTGATTTTAGCAAATCTATCTCTAGTTTACTTTACATTTGATTGCTCTAGTTTTGAAATGGAATTTATTTCATAAAATACTCTGTGGAATGGCATGTTAGAAATACATTCCCTGTGCAAGTATATTAATAAAGTTATTGAAAGTAACTTGCTGTAAAACCAAACTTTCTGAATGGGAATTATGAACACAATATAAAACAGGGTATTGGATTGCTTGCCATGGTCATTCTTTAACAAACCTTCAGTGCTTCTTTTATTTTGAAAAAATATAAATATTTGATATAATGTTAAATATTACCACAGGAATAAATGCAAAAGCAATAAAGTTAAATTTTAAGGAACTATTTTTATGGGTGTATCAGTCTGTTTTCACTGTGCTATAAAAGAACTAACTGAGAGTGGGTATTTTATGAAGAAAAGAAGTTTAATTCACTCACTGTTCTACAGGCTTAACAGGAAGCATGACTGGGAGGACTAAGGAAACTTACAATCATGGCAGAGGGCAAAAGGGAAGCAAGCTCCTTCTTCATATGGTGGCTGGAGAGAGAGACAGAGCAAGGGGAGATGTGCCACACACTTTTAAATCATGAGATCTCATGAGAACTCACTCACTATCATAAAAACAGCATGAGGCAAATCCTCACAATCCAATCACCTCCCACCAAGTCCTTTCCCCAACACTAAAAATCCCAACTGGAGTTGAGATTTTGGTGGGCACACAGAGCCAAACATATTATTCCAACCCTGGCCCCTCCTAAATCTCATGTCCTGACATTTCAAAATACAATCAAGCCATCCCAACAGTCCCCCAATCTTAACTTATTCCAGTATTAACTCAAAAGTCCAAATCCAAAGTCTCATCTGAGACAAAACAAATCCCTTCCACCTATGAGCCTATAAAATAAAAAACAAGTTAGTTACTTCCAAGATACAGTGGGGGTACACAAATTGGATAAATCCTCCCAATCTGAAAGGGAGAAACTGGCCAAAACAAAGGAGCTACAGGCCCACCAAGTCCAAAACCCAGTTGGGCAGTCATTAAATATTAAAGGACCAAAATAATGCCCTCTGACTCTATGTCTCACATCCAGGGCACATCGATGCAAGAGGTAGTCTGCCAAGGCCTTGAGAAGCTCCTCCCCTGTGGCTCTGCAGGGTACAGCTCCTCCTGACTGCTTTCATGGTCTGGCATTGAGGGCCGGAGGCTTTTCCAGGCACACTGTGCAAGCTGTTGGTGGATCTACCATTCTGGGGTGAGGAGGATGGTGGCCCTGTTCTCACAGCTCCACTAGGCAATGGCTCAGTGGGGACACTATGTGGGGGCTCCAACCACACATTTCCCTTCTGCACTGCCCTAGTAGATGTTCTCCCTGAGGGCTCCGCTTTGCAGCTGACTTCTGCCTAGAAATCCAGGCATTTCCAAACATCTTCTGAAATCTAGGCAGGAGTTCCAAAACCTCAATTCTTAGCTTCTGTGCATCTGCAGGCCCAACACCACGTGGAAGCTGCCAAGGCTTGGGGCTTGTACCCTTTGAAGCCACAGCCTGAGATGTATGTTGGCCCTTTTTAGCTGTGGCTGAAGCTGAAGCAGCTGTGCTGCAGGGTGCCATGTCTCATGGTAGCACAGGGCAATGGGGCCCTGGGCCCAGCCCACAAAACCAATTTTCCCTCCTAGGCCTCCAGGCCTGTGATGGGAGGGGCTGCCATGAATGTCTCTGAAATGCCCTGGAGGCATTCTCCCTATTGTGTTGGTTATTAACATTTTGCCCATCTTTACTTATGCAAATTTATACAGCAGGCTTAAATTTCTCCCCAGGAAATGGGGTTTTCTTTTCTACTCCATTGTCAGGCTGCACATTTTCCAAACTTTTATGCACTGTTCCCTTTTTGTTTTTTGTTTGTTTGTTTGTTTAGACGTAGTTTTGCACTTGTCATCCTGGCTGGAGTGCAATGGTATGATCTTGGCTCACTGCAACCTCGGCCTCCTGGGTTCAAGTGATTCTCCTGCCTCAGCCTCCCAAGTAGGTGGGATTACAGGCATGCACCACCATGCCCAGCTAATTTTATATTTTAATAGAGATATGGTATCTCCATGTTGGTCAGGCTGGTCTTGAACTCCTGACCTCAGATGTACCACCTACCTTGGCCTCCCAAAGTGCTGGGATTATAGGCGTCAGCCACCGCGCCTGCCCCTTCCTTCTTTTTAAATATAAGTTCCAATTTCAGATAATCTCTTTGTTCACACATATGAGCATATACTCTTAGAAACAGCCAAGTCAAATCTTAAATGGTTTGCTGCTTAGAAATTTCTTCTGCCAGATACCCTGAATCATCTCAGGTTCAAAGTTCCACAGATCTCTAAGGCAGGGGAAAAATGGCATCAGTCTCTTTGCTAAAGCATAGCAAGAATGACCTTTGCTCCAGTTTCCAATAAGTTCCTCATCTCCATCTGAGAACACCTTAGTCTGGACTTCATTGTCCATATCACTAGCACCATTTTGGTCAAAGCCATGCCACAAGACTCTAGGAAGTTACAAGCTTACCTGCATCTTTCTGTCTCCTTCTGAGCCCTCCAAACTGTTCCAGCCTCTGCCTGTTCCCCAGTTCCAAAGTCACTTCCACATTTTCAGGTATCTTTATAGCAGTGCCCTATTCTTTTGGTACCAATTTTCTATATTAGTCTATTTTCACACTACAGTAAAGAACTACCTAGGCTGGGTAATTTATGAAGAAAAGAGTTTCATTGAATCGCAGTTCCTCAGGCATAACAGGAAGCATGATTGGGAGGACTCAGAAAACTTACAACTATGCTACAAGGCAAAGGTGAAGCAAGCACCTTCTTCACATGGTGGCAGGAGAGAAAGAAAGAGCAAGGGAGGAAATGCCACACACTTTAAACTATCAGATCTCATGAGATCTCACTATCATGAGAACAGCTTGGAGGAAATCTGCCCCCCATGATCCAATCACCTCCCACCTGGCCCCTCCTCCAATACTAAGGATACAACTTGAGATGAGATTCTGGTGGGGATACCGAGCCAAAAAACCATATCAATGGGTGTATTTCAGATTTAATAAATTCTGAAAATATTTAGTACCATACCTTCAGCTTTTCTTCATTGAGCTATTGGCACTATTTTCAAGTAATTAGGGTCAAATATATTAGCTAGGCTATGGGAAAAAATGAAATCCCCCTTTTTTTTTGTAAAATAATATTTGTAAAAAAAACATGCCATCACACCCAGCTAACTCTTTGTATTTTTAGTAGAGATGGGGTTTCACCATATTGGCCAGGATGGTCTTAAACTCCTGACCTCAGGGGATCCGCCTGGCTCAGCCTCCCAAAGTGCTGAGATTACAGACATGAGCCACTGCACTGGCCCCTCCCCTTCTCTTCCCTTCCCTGATCTGCCCTTCTCCTCTCCTCTCCTTTCCTTTTTTCTTTCTCTCTCCTTTATTCTTTCTTTCTCTATTTATTTATATTTTTTATGAAAATATATCCAACAAGGCCAAATGCAGTGGCTCACGCCTGTAATCCCAGCACTTTGGGAGACTGAGGTGGGCAGATCACGAGGTCAGGAGTTCAAGACCAGCCTGACCAATATGGTGAAACTCTGTCTGTACTAATAATACAAAAATTAGATGGGCATGGTTGTGGGCGCCTATAATCCCAGGTACTCAGGAGGCTGAGGCAGGAGAATCACTTGAACCTGAGAGACGGAGTTTGCAGTGAGCCAAGATCATGCCATTGCACTCCAGCCTGGGTGACGGAGTGAAACTCCGTCTCAAAAAAAAAAAAAAAAAAATATATATATATATATATATATATATATATATATAAAATCTAACAAATTGTTCACTGTGCCCTTCCACTGAGAAACAAATACGAGATGATTTCACAGACAAACTTAGAGTGAAATGTATTCATTATTTTCTAAGTCTAATATGTACTTAATCATTTGAACAGAATTTGAGTATTTTATTATTTTGTGACAATAATTTGTTACTTCTTACCTTAAAGGATGCTAAGGAGAGCAAAAGAATAATTTGTTTATAGTGAAAAAGCATAGGTTCAGTACAGTAAAAGAAAAACTGAAAAGAAGTCAATTATTTTAAGTCTACAGATCATTGAAAGTTCTGAAGTCAAATCAAACAGTTTGAAATTTTATATGTGATGATATCACTGGGGTTAACCTCACTTTATATTCACATGAGCTATATATTTTTTTGCTCTACAATCAAATAAAGGTAAAATTGTATTTTTTCCTTTTTACATTAGTTTTCATAAGTGAATTTAATTTTTAATTGGATGTACTAATTGTACATATTTATTGTGTACTAGTGATGTTTTGATGTATGTAATATATAGTGATCACATCAGGGTAATTAGCATATTCATCATACCGTACATTTATTATGTCTTTGTATTGGAATATTTTAAATCCTCCTCTAGCTAGTTGAAAGTATATAAGATATTACTGCTAATTATAGTCACCCTGCAGTGCTACAGAATGCTAAAACTTATTCCTCTTTTCTAGCTGTAATTTTGTATCCTTTACCAAATCTCTCCCCATCTTCCCTTTCCCCATACTCTTTCCAGCCTCTAGTATTCTTTGTTCTATTTTTCTTTTTCTATTTTTTACCTTTATGATTTTTATTTTGCATTCATATATGAATGAGAACATGAGATAGATAACTTTCTGTTTCTGGCTTATTACACTTAACATAATGTCCTCCAGTTCTTTCCATATTGACACAAATAACAAAATTTCATTCTTTTGTATGGCTAAATAGTATTTAATTGTTTATATATACCACATTGTCTTTATTCGTTCATCTGTTGTTGGACACCTAGGTTGATTTCATATCTTGACTGTTGTGGATAGTGCTGCAATAAACATGGGGTACAGGTAATCTCTTTGATATACTGATTTTTTTCCTTTTGGTAAATGCCCAATAGTGGGATTGCTGGATCATATGTTAGTTCAAGTCGTAGTTTTTTGAGGAACCTCCATATTTTTCTCCATAGTGACTACACTGGTTTACATTTCCATGAGTGGTGTATGAGCTCCCCCTGTTTTTGCATCCTTGCCATCATTTGGTATTTTTTTGTGTTTTTGATAGTAGCCACGCTAACTGGGGTGAGATAATACCTTATTGCGATTTTGATTGGCATTTCTTGTATGATAAATTGTATTATTTGATGAATAAATTATCACCTGGAGCATTCTAATATTCCCAATATTAACATGAAATAAAATTTAAATTAACCTAGAATAATGAAAAATAACAAAATAGCAATGTATTAAACTATTCTGTTTGATTCATGTATTTCAATATATTTCAGAATAATCATAAGAGATATTTAAAAGCATTCTACTGTAAATTCATATTAAGATTCTGCAAAGTATTTATTAAAAATAAAATAGAACACTTTGAGAAATTTCCTTTTTTTGAAATAGAAAATATAAAAACCATGATGATAATAAAAATGATTTTTAATGTTGCCTTCATGTATATATTTAGCAAGAGGAATACTCACACAAGATGGACAGGGGTGATGAAATTGAATTCTATTTTATGAGAAATTTAAAATGGTTGAATCAGAATCTGATGGTATGCTTTAGTCCTTCTGAAAAGTCTATTACTTTTTTGGTCTTTAAAGAAAATTATTGGCAAGGAATTCTTTATATAGGGGTCACCCTATGAAAGGATGAACCATTTCCCTTAAATGTGTCCCTGGTCATATCAGAAAGTTTTATTATCACTTCAGGGTAGCTCTCTGATAAATTGATAAAGACATATTTAACTGAATTTGCAACCATAATATGAGCCCTTTGGTGATAAAGGTACAGAAGCAAAGCTTTCTTATGATGTGTTTTGGAGTTTGAGAAAAATCAGTTTTCCATGAACCACCTCAATGAGCAAAGCCCTGACTGCTAGATCATCCCTTATCACAAAAAGGGCAGGCTGTTTATAATCATATCTTCTACCCTTCCGTTATTCATGTCTGTGAAGGCAGCAGGAGATCATGAGACACTTGTAGGGCCATGACAAGGAAGAGCCTACATATCTTACATTGATGATGCTGGCAGGAAAAGTGTTGGCAATTGTGTATGAATGGAGCTAGATCCTGTTGCTTCCTTGAGTCACCTTGTGGCTTGTTTGCTACACTCCAAGCCAATGCCAGCTAGTCACTTTCATATTAAGACAAAAATAGATCTAATTCTGCAGGTAGAAAATAAGAACCTACATTACTTTTTTATCATACTTATATGAAAACTACATGGCGTAATGGGACAGCAACTAAAGAAGGTGCGCCTCACTCTACTATTACAGGCCTAAATCATTTCTTTTTAGGTTTATAGATGTTCTGCAGATACCAGCTGAACTGTGTGTTCTTATGTAAATGAGTATTTAGTATTATTTTTGCTCTAAAGAATGCCTAACTCTGTTTGCCTAGCTCAAAAGCAGCCACAGAAAGACAGAAATAAATGAGCACAGCTGTATTTGAATACAACTCTATAGACACTGAAGTTTAAATTTTATATAATTTTATATAATTTTCACATTATTAAATATTATTCTTGTTTTAAAATTTTAAATCATAAGTTTAAAATTGCTTTCCCATTACGCTATGTAATAACTATTGCTAGCTCACGAGCAGTACAAAAATGGGTGTCCAGATGGATTTGGCCTACATAGTTCCCACCTGTGTAATAGCCAATTTAGTGACTACAGACACATGTAGTAAATAAATAACCAGGTGATTTAAACATCGTTTTATAAATGCTAAGATTAAAAAGGGCAGGATATGATTGGATCACCTAAAAAATGTATCCAGCTTGATCTTACAGAACCACGAAATTCTTCCTGAAGGAGATGAAAAACTGAGGTAGGAAAGATGGAAAGAAGGCATCCAGCTGAACATGAGAATAAGGTGTCAAGCTAAAGGACCAGCATTGGTGGAGGTTAAGGAGATCAAGAGAGAGCAAAGCAAGTTTAAGGAACTAAAAGTATTAAAGAAGAGCTAAAGTGATTTTGTCAAGACTATATCTACTTTTCAAATATGTTTCTGCTTCAGATATGTATATATATACACACACACATACAGATGTAAATATATATAAATATAAATATTCATTTATTATTGTTGGTAGAAATAATTTTTTTTACTTCTATCCTTATATTCCTTTACATAAGTTTGACAATGACTTCAACAACAGAAATTGCTTGTCTCTCAATCTTTGTTTTACTGCTTAGTAGATTCTAGAAATGTTTTCTTATTAGCAAGGAGTAGGAAAGCCTACCACTGAAGTTTGAGAGATTGTTTTGAGACCAGTCCCTATTAATACTTTCTTTTGACTACCTCTTAAAAGAATTATACAAGCATATTTCAGGTGGAAAGGATATGTATATACAAACAGGAATAGAAATGGTTTGTAAAGAAATGAAAAGTTATTGTTTTAAAGAAATTATATCAAATACTATTTGTTTTTTGTCCGCTGATAAAAAGAACATGGAAAGCTATATAGGTATGATTATTTCAAACAGTCGTATTCAGAAAAGACAAACAAGCTATTCTCAGAGTAGTGGTGGTGATCACTAATTGTTTTAAAAACAATTCCAAAAGGATTTATCCCATATGAAAATGGGTTAACTCACCAGTGTACTTTAATAGAAATTGTAGACATATTGACCCATAATGGTTGCCAGTGCTTCTGAGGTTCACTGTTTCACTAAATTTCCTTTAAACTCAATCGTCGAAACTAGGTGCAGCTTTACAGTAGGTGAGTTTGGAAAGACTTTGAAGGTATGCAACATCACTATCACAGTCAAAGTGCTCTTTAAAATGCATCATATTTCTAGGTGAATTATTATTATTAGTAGCAGTATTCATAAAGGAACCTCAAATGAGCTTTTGCATTTACAAACCGAAGGTTTAGTTTGTACAAAGCATTTTAAAAATATTGAAGTCTGTGACATTAGAGCCCGTCTTTGTAGGTTACTTCCTTCTACAGCACAGCAGAAGTTTGTACATTCTTAGAAACTCATAATTATGAGGAATAAATACTTTTTTGATCAAGAGGGATATAATATATTGCAATTCAAACAAGTCCAAATTGCCAAATACAATTGTTTTAACTGAGCCCTTGTCTGTTTGAAATTTCCTTGATATTTAACACTGATGAGCGCCAATTCCCCTTCTGAAACTTGCTATTCCTTTGATTCCAGGATATCTCTCATTCCATAATCTCATTCTCTTTAACAACTATTCAAATTCTTCACTTTTCCTTCTATGCTATATATATAATTTCTCAAACTTTTGCTATATTATTGTATATAGTATTAATTTCTAGTCTCAAATTTCTTATGTATCTATAGCTAGATCCCCTTTCTTATTCCTAGTATTTGTGATTCTCCTCTTTCTGAATTGCCAAATATTTGCCTATGTTATGAGACTTTTCAAATAACTATCTTGTGTTTTTGTTGATAAAATCTACACTTTTGTCATTACTTTATATGTTGATGTTCCTGTATTATTTCATATTGATTTTGATTTCTATTTTACTTAGGAATGCTCTCTCTACTTATTTTGGAATTAATTTGTTTTTCTTATTTTTCTTTAGCTTACTTGCTTTAATTTATCCATTATAAATTGCTATTAAGTTTACTGCATACATTTCACATTACACATTTTTCTTTGTACTACTTTGCATAAGTTTTTAGTATGTAGGGCTTCATTGCAATTCATTCCTAAACAGCTTATAACTTCTGTTTTGATTTCACTTTCATCTTAGGAATTCTGTAAGCTGCTTTCATTTTAGTTTGTTGTTAATTTCATTTTTAAATTGTTTTGTGTTCAATAAATATGGTCTAAAAGACTTCTGCCTTACAGAATTTATTGATTATCTTGTGCTTTCATACATGTTCATTTTGCTCTGAGTTTATTCATGTCTCAAAAGAAGGCTCCCTTTTTGTCTGCTGTATGCAATGTTCTAAATGTAAGAACTAGTCACCTCATTGCATTATGCAGATATTCTGTGTTCTTATTGTTTTTAATCTATCTTTTGTATTCAGAGAGAAGTTCCTATTTGATTGTATTTTAAACATTTTTTCATCTCTCGTGTAAATAGATACTGCTTTATTATTTTTCAAAATGTTAATATAATAAGAAATATCCTGTTTCATTTAGTAGTTTTTCACATGGAATCCTTCTTTCTTTTTTGGCATTTTCCTGTTATTTTTGACCAACAATTAATTTTATAAAAATATATCTTTATTCATCTTTTTGAGAATAATACATGGTTGGTGTTTTCCAGTCTAACTAATCTGTTTTTAGGGAATCCATTTTGGGGTAGACTTTCATACATTCTCTCCTATATCAGCTGTCCTGTTTAGCATGGTCTTCATCTTCCATATTGGTTGTTTTTCAAAAGTTTGTGAACATGGTTGTCTAATTAGTTTTGAATATGAGTATCTGTTGATTTGTGTAAGTAGCTGTATCAGCTTTTCTTTTGAATTTTTGTAGTTACATAGTTTTTGTATACATTTATGGGGTACATGGGATATTTTAATACAGGCATACAATGCATAATAATCACATCAGGGTGAATGGGATATCCATCACCTCAAGTATTTATCCTTTCTTTGTGTTACAGACAATTCAATTATAGTCTCTTAGTTATTTTAAAATCTACAGTAAACTACTGTTGACTGTAGCCATGCTGTTGTGCTATCAAATACTAGAACTTACCACTTTTATCTAACTATATTTTTGTATCCATTAACTATCCCTACGTACTCTGCCTCCTCCACTACCCTTCCTAGTCTTTGGCAATCATTGTTCTACTCCCTTTCTCCATGAGTTCAATGGTTTTAATTTTTATCTCCCACAAATAAGTGAGAACATGTGAAATTTGTCTTTCTTTGCCTGGGTTATTTCACTTAACATTATGTCTTTTAGTTTCATCCACGTTGTTGCAAATATATCTTTGTTCTGTTGGTATGTAGTTCTCAGGATACCTGCGTCCTAACTAGGAAGGTTTCCTCAAACTTCTTCTACATGGATATGGCATAGTTCATTAGGTTATGTGGATACAGAAAGAGGAAGAGTGACATATCCTTTCTCAACTTTTCTTTTCCACTTTTAAATTCAGGGGGATGTGGACAGGTTTGTTACATGGATAATTTGCATGTCACAAAGATTTGGTGTACAGATTATTTCTTCACCCACGTTTTCAGAATAGTACTCAATAGGTAGTTTTTCAATCCTCACCCTACTCACACTTTCCACCCTCAAGTAGTCCCTGGTGTCTGTTGGTTCCTTCTTTGTTTTCATATGTACTCAATGTTTAATCCCCACTTATAAGTGAGAACATGTGGTATTTGGTTTACTGTTCCTAAGTTGGTTTGCTTAGGATATGGCTTCTAGCTCCATCCATGTTGCTGCAAAGGGCATGATCTCATTCTTTTTTATGGCTGCATAATATTCCATGGTATATATGTACATTTTCTCAATTCAGTCTACCAGTGATGAGCACTCAGGTTGGTTCCATGCTTTTGCCACCGTGAATATTGCTGCAATGAATATACATGTGCATGTGTCTTTATGGTAGAACGATTTATAGTCTTTTGGATATGCTCAATAATGGGATTGCTGGATCGAATGTTAATTCTGTTTTAAGCTCTCTGAGAAATTGCCAGACTGCATTCTACAATGGGTGAACTACATTACATTCCCACCAGCAGTGTATAAGCATTAAATTTTCTCTGCAATCTCACCAGAATCTGTTATTTTGGACTCCTTAATAATAGTCTTTCTGACTGTTGTGAGATGGTATCTCATTGTGGTTTTGATTTGCATCTCTCTAATGATTAGAGATGTTGAGTATTTTTTCATATGTATGTTGGCCATCTGTATGTCATCTTTTGAAAAGTGTCTGTTCATGTCCTTTGCCCACTTTGTAATGGAGTTGTTTGTTTTTTGCTTGCACATTTCAAGTTTTCAAATATTTTCTCCCATTCTGTAGGTTGTCTGTTTACTCTGTTGATTGTTTCTTTTGCTGTGCAGAAGCTCTTTAGTTTAATTAGGTCCTATTTGTCAACTTTTGTTTTTGTTGAAATTGCTTTTGGCATCTTTATCATGAAAACTTTGCCAGATCCTATGTCCAGATAATGAGGTCTTTACTGTAAGACTGGAGCATTTTTGTTTACTTCTGTCAAATCCCTTATGAATTACCTTTCATTATTACACATACTTATGCATTTTGTTTTATAAAAATACAGAACACTAAATACACAAAAACTCTAGATTCTACCCACGTGATCCTGGTTGCACTTCTGAGGCTTTCCCAGGATTAATTTTTGGGGAGAGATTGGGGAAACTGAAGATAATTTTTCAAGGTGTCTCCTCTTATCTTTCCTTATAATCCCTCTTCTTTTACGGAATAAGGAAGGGGAAACAGCAGGAAAATGTTAACATAAGTCCATAGTTGTAACTGCAAAGGCTTGTGATTGGTATTATTTAATGTTGACTTGCAGATTTATCTCCACTCAATCTGGGAGCACACCTAGACCTGCAGAGGGAAGGGAAAGCATAAAGGTACCTGCTATCACCATGCATCTGCTTAGTGTGGAGTAGATTATAGCATTAGCTCACCATTTACCTCCATACACCAGTTTCTCAATTCAGCAATGGGTCCTATGTGGATCTGTGGCTTAAGTTAGTTAATAGCCAGTACAAGGACTTCATTTTCTGTCCTTGAACCTCAGTCTGTTATGTATAAATTATAGTTCCTAAAACTGAATCTCCTGATAACATGTGCCTGCTGCTTAAGTCTCAGTCAGCCCTAATCTGGCCAATCAGATAGACTCCAAATTCCTCACCTTGATTTGAAACTTCCCACTGTAAAATTTACTTTTCTCAGACTAAATTTTGGGCCCATCTTTCCCTGTAACTCTCTCCTTTCCTAAATTTATGACCCCTTATCTGACACCTTGCCTTTTTCTGATATTTGACATGCTTAAATCTAATTCTTTCTTCTGGCACTAAATTAGAGTGCTATAAAATATTTGTATTTGCAACTATTTCATGTTTATCTTACAGACTCGTTTTTGTCACTAGGGAAAGGTATTTCTAGTGCCTATCAGATAAGTAAATAGCCTGTAAATAGGGAGTGCAAACTCGAATGCCTAGAGATGTCCGTGACAGATAATGTAAACAAGTGAAACTCTCCTGGGATAAAACAGCAGGAGGGGGTAACTGCTGAAAACCTTACGACTGTTTAAAGACATTCCAAATCAAATTATTTCTAAAAATCAGTAAAATATGAGTCAACAAACAGACAAACAAAACAAGTGTGGTCTGCATTGCCACCTTGAGTAACTCCTCTAAACCAAATAGACTTCTGCTCATCCTTGCAAGGCCACATCCAGCCATTAGGTAACTTCTTGTTTGCCTCCCATAAAGGCTGTTCATATAGTTAATTTTTGACATGCTTTTACCTCAATAAAATTATCCTGAGGCAATAGGATAGAAGATAAACCTTGGTTCAAACCCCAACTTTGCCACTTAAAACTGAACCACCGCACGGCAAGTTATTAAATTTTAGGAGCTTCATTGTTCTCTTTTATAAAACGGGCATAAAAATGTATGTAATAAATTATTGTTGGGAAGATTAAATATAATCTAAGAAAGAGATTATAGGAAAAAATCAAACATTTCATGTTAATCCTCTTTTCTGTCATACATGTTCTCCAAATATTGATGTTTTTCTCTAGGCCACAAAATTTTCTTAAGAGTAATCCTACCTATAGCAGTTGGAAGTCAGGACCACAGTATTTTTGAAAGACAAATATTTACAATCTATTATAAAAATTTCCAATATCATTTTTGTTTTTATTTGGAAATATCTTCATGAATTCCTATTCAATATTCAAAACATCACAAATATGTAGAAAAGGGGATAAACATCAAGGTAGTACAATATATCTAATTTTTTGGTTGAATCAAAAATTTAAAATATAGCTGCTAGCTGTTTTGTGTTTTGTTTCTATGTAGACTTATCTCTCAGTAATGATGATGCTTCAAAAGAACACATCTATATCAGGTTCTATCTCTACACACCCTTTACTATTATCAACTTGTAAAATGTATCAGCCAAACAGGACCTGCTACAGGATTGCTGATGTCTATAAAAATGCAGAAAGCACTAAATCAAAACGGGCTGCTGAAAAACTAAAAATCAAATATCACACAAATCACTCAGCTGCCTGGGCTTAGAAAGAGAGCATTTGAAAGCTCATATGTGGACTGATATTGCCAATTGACATACTCGGTTGTTTTAAGCAAATCTTTTAAAAATTCATTGCTTGAGGAGATCGAGCAAACCTGTTTTTCTGGCCAGATATGCTTTTCCTATTTCCCTGGCTTATGAAGTTTCACAGGATGAGTTTTAAATTACTCAGGAAATAGCTATAGGGTATCCTATTTACATCATAAAAGATATACTGACAGAACTGCAGGGTTTACGCCAATCTATAACACCAGACAAAGATTTTTCACTGTGCTGCAGGTTTTATAAGGAGACATTTAAAAACATATATAGGAAAAATATAATCCTTTATATGCTATTTAAATATATTCTCTGGCTATCTGAAAGGCTTTCTATTCTTTGAAGGAAAAATTCTATTCCCTTTTTTTTGCTGACTACTGCTCTTTGTGTGTAGTTATATGAAATTATCAGAAATATTAAGGCTATCTATATGTACTATATTTAAAGTGGGACTCTTCTGAGCTCATCACATGTCTCATCATTAGCCTTTCACATATATTTCAAATAAAAATGTAATTATATTAGTAATAATGCTTTTGGTGCTTAGGGAATGAATAACACTTGCCACACTGTCCAGTTGGTATCTTAGACTAAAATAGTTGACACTTGCTGAAAATTTTTCCTATGCTTCATTAGCTTACTAAGTGAGACAGGAACATTCCTGTCATTGGGATCTTTGCTAGATTTCTGATGTTATGTTAGTTTATTCTCATGCTGCTATAAGGACATGCCTGAGGCTAGGAAATTTATAAAGGAAAGAGGTCTAATTGACTCACAGTTCGGCATGGCTGCGGAGGCCTCAGGAAACTTACAATCATGACAGAAGGCACCTCTTCACAGGAGAGCAGGAGAGAGAATGAGAGCCCAGTGAAGGGGAAAGCCCCTTTTTAAACCATCACATCTTATGATAACTAACTCACTATCATGAGAACAAGATGGGGGGAACCCCCATGATTCAATTACATTCAAGAACTACAATTCAAGATGAGATTTGGGTGGGGCACAGCTAAACCATATCAGATGTTATCTAATTATATAGTAGACTGGGATATAAAATAGACAAGGCAGACTGTTGTATTAAGTGGAAACTCTAGTTTATAGATATTAACATGATTTTAGGTATTATTCTTTATACCTTAGATTCTCAAAGCACTTGATAAATAATGACCCTAAATTGGTGGTGAACATGCTGTTGGAGTGTTGAATCCAATAAAGTTAAATAAACAAAAGAAAGAAATGGCATCTAAAAGGACAAAAAAATAAGGTACTTAAGGCTCTGCACCTATTTTTCTGTGTTTATAGTGCCTTAAATATCACCCTCTGACCAAGAAGTAATGAACGGGTTTGGGGCTTTTCTTAATGTGTTTTATACTTGCTTTATTGCTAATATATTGATTAGTTTCCTAATGAGATCACAGCAAAGTTGTTACTTCTAAATAAAAGCTTTGCCACAAAGGTTGCAAGTAATGAACACTATAAACTGTATGTAATAAAATGTTTGCAAATAGTCATCCTTTGGTTCATATATAAGGTATTCTGGAGAAATAAAAACTTCCATGAATTTATTTTATACTTTTTCCAGCAATCCTAAATGCTAACAACAACACACTATTTTAATCTGAGGAAATTGCCATGAATTTGAAAATAATCTCAACACTTTGAAGGAATTAATAAAAACAAAGAGTTGTGTACATATTCAATTCCAGTAGATAATATTACAGTATCATAGATATATTAATTAAGAATATGAATGTTTAAGGATAATTCTTAAGTTTCAATGAGATTCCAACCCAATTAAACAACAAAGATATGTTTCCCTTTTAAATTATCTAGTTGACTTAATCTATTGCTTTTAGAAAAGGATTGTTAGAAGTAATATGATAGTGATGAATAACCCAAGGTTTCATTACTGCCAAGAATCCAGAATGTGTTTACATATCTCTCAGATGCCAGAAGAACTTGGACAGGAGCGAATGCCTTCATGATTGGTGAAGAATTTTTCTTGCCTTGACTGGTAATTGTCTGAATCTTCTAGTAGTGATCTTACCTCTTGTTTTGAAGTTGAGAATATGAATACTCATGAAGAGAAAAGGAGAGGAGACACATTTGAATTGAGCTTCAAGGTATTAAATAAAATGTTGCTTGTCCAGCATCCAAAGAAATCTGCAAAATCTGCAAAATCTTAGGCTCCAAGCACTAGTGGTCTAAAATGAAAATAACCCAAGATATCCATCAGGGTTATGCAAACAATAGGGGAAGACAATCTGCCCTTGGGCATTTTCTTCTCTTCTTTTGTCACACAGGTCTACCCAGCTATAATGGAATACAACTAAGAGAGCTTCTTGTTCGTTGGCTGCTTCTCTCTGAGAATTTAAACATGAATCTCTCACTAAAAAATGTGGCTTGGTCAAGAGAATGACAGATAAGCCAGCAACTGGGATAACATATTTTCGAAACACATTAACTGATAATGAACTGGTATTCAAAATATACAAAAACTCCTAAAAACCACCACCAACAACAACAAAACTACATCACAAGCAAAAGATCCTAATAAATGTTTCACCAAATAAGATATACAGATGGCAAATAAGCATATGTAGCTATCCACACGATTTCTTAAAACCCATCAACAACAACAAAATTACATTATGTGCAAAAGATCCCAATAGATGCTTCACCAAATAAGATGTACAGATGGCAAATAAGCATATGTAGCTATCCACGCTATTTGTCATCAGAGAATTGCAAATTAAAACATCACTACATCACCTATTAGAATGGGTAAAACACAAAACACTGACAACACCAAATACTGGCAAGTATGCGGAGCAACAGGAACTCCCAATCATTTCTGGTGAAATTGCAAAAATGATACAACCACTTTGAAAGACAGTTTGGCAGTTTCTTACAAAAGTAAACATATTCTTACCATATAATCCAGCAATTACACTCTTTGGAATTTACCAAAGTAAATTGAAAATTTGTGTACACTCAAAAACCTGCCACAAATATGTATAGCAGGTTTGTTTCTAATTGCCAAAACTTGGAAGTATTTAAAATATTCTTCAGTAGGTGAATGAATAAATGAACTGAAGTATATCTATACAATAGAATATGTTTCAGGGATGGAAAAATGAGCTACCTAACCACAAAAATGACATGGAGGACACTTAGACCCATATGGCTAAGTGAGGAAGCCAATCTGAAAAGTCTATATACTGTATGATTCTTATTATATGACATTCTGGAAAGAAAAAACCATGGAGACTATAAAAAGATCAGCGTTTGCCAGGAGTTGGGTTGGGGGAAGGGAAGAATAGAGGAAGCATAGGATTTTTAGGGCAGTTAAAATATTCTGTATAATTCTGTAATGGTGGATACATGCCATTATACATTAGTTATACCTATTGAACGTACAACACAACAAATGAACTCTAATGTAAAACATGGACTTTAGTTAACAATAATGTACCAAAATTAGCTTATCAATTATAATGTGTCCCATGAATGCAAGATGTTGATAAAAGAGGAAACTGGGGTGGAAGGAGGGATATGTTTATAGAAACTCTTCCCACTTCTCACTCAATATTTCTGTAAAACTAAAACTGCTCAAAAACATAAGAGCTATAAATTAAACATTATTTTAAAATGCTGTTTGATAGATTAGTGATAAAATGGAGAGGCTGGAACTGGTTTAGTAATTACTAGTGCTCTCCTGCCTGGGGATCACCTCTCTCCAAGGGCCACCATAAATGCTAACTTATATAAATGATGCTCTCTAGATTTATGCAATACTTAACTACAAAGAGATATGAAATAACAACATCTTAATCTCTTCTTAAACTCAAGAATGAACACAATCCAGGGCTTGGTTTTTGTGCTTTTTGAACATAGAGACTAGAGATTAATATCTCCATGTGAACATGAGCTAAATAAGTAGATATCTGGGAGAGATCACCAATATAAAGGAAAAATGACATATGTAAATGAAGCAGATTTTAAATCAAAGGATTAAAAATAACCATGTCATTTAGCCTTATGTATGTAAAGGAAGACACTAGTAATAAGAGGCTGAAATAAGATTTTATTTAAATGTGGATTTTTGACATATGAAAAATATAATGGTTGAAGAAAAGAAAATGGTAGATGGGATTTTTAAACATCAGGATTATTACTACTGAAGAAAGAATTATGGATGGAGCCATTAATCTAAACGAAATAACTCAGAAACAGAAAATCAAATACTACACGTTCTCACTTATAAGTGGGAGCTAACCAATGGGCACACATGGACTTAAAGATGGGGAAATAACAGACACTGGGGACTCCAGAAGGGGAGAGGGAAGGACGGGGTTGAGGGTTGAACAATTATCTGTTGGGTACAATGTTCATTATTGGGCGATGGATGCATTAGAAGCCAAACCTCACCATTATGCAATATATCCACGTAACAAACTTGAACACATATTCCCTAATCCATAATAATAATAAAATAATCCTGCAATGAAAGGCAAAAAATAAATTAATTCATCTGGGATAGCTGGAATCCTGTGACCCAAGTGAAGACCATGAAATTTATAAAATAATTATTAATTCTTGCCAAAAATATTCTTTAAAAAAATTATTCTATAGAGGAATTCACCATTTTTTATTTCCTTTCACCAGTGTCTTGGAATTATTTTCTAAGAATAAATTCACAGGCAAAGGAATGAATGTGTATATATGCTTCTCAAATAACAGTCTAATGTGGGAAATTAAGAAACAAAAATAAGGGGATAAGGTTTATATTTCTTTACATCACAGTTGATTTGTAAAATTAATATGTTTTATATTCATCGATTCTATTGATTCTAGGACAGAGGTGGTACTCAAGACTCAAGGTATTAGAATCCTTGTCTGTCACAGGGACAAATTCTTACCAGGAGAGGATAGGAAGTGCCTGCAGGGTAGAGTTGACAGATTTGGCAAATAAAAATAGAGGATACCCAGTTAAATGTGAATTTCAGGTAAATAATGAACATTTTTTTTAGAATAGGTATTTCCCAAATATCGCATGTGTCTTTCATACTGATAAGCTAGCCCCACCACAGACCTATTGAATCAGAATTTGTGGGGATAGGGACTAAGGCATCTAGTTTGTATAAAAATTCGTCAGTAATTCTAATAGGCAGACAAGGTTGAGGCTCACTATGTTTAACGATTATTTATCAATCAAACCTCCTATAAGATATATGAAATGACACTTATGGCCGGGCGGTGGCTCACGCCTGTAATCCCAGCACTTTGGGAGGCTGAGGCAGGAGAACGGCGTGAACCCAGGAGGCGGAGTTTGCAGTGAGCCGAGATTGCGCTACTGCACTCCAGCCTGGGCGACAGAGCATGACTCCGTCTCAAAAAAAAAAAAAAAAAAAAGAAATGACACTTATGAGGCCATGACCACACAACAAATCCAGATATGGATAACCCTCAGCCCTTGGGCGTCATGTTGACTATGATATTCTGTGTTGGTTGATGACTGCTATCAAGTTTTCAATTTTATCCTGGTTTTCTTTTTCATACATTGGAGAACAAGCTACAAGCCCCACTACCCCCAATAATTTCCTCATTTTCAAAGTCATCAGGGAATGTGTGCAAAAATAAAAATAATGCCTGCTATAAAACTGTTTAACTACTGTGTGAAAAATTGAATTTCCAACATAACTCATATTATGTTTCCTCTCATAAAACATGAAATGGTTGAAGATGCTAAATATGGCACAGTGGATATGAAATTGATTATATCAGGAAATCTAGTCATCTGTTTCCTGGCTATGCCATTTAACTTCTTTGGGCCTCAATTTCTTCACCAGTAAAACGATGTTTTGTCTTGTTGACTGCCCACTTTTAAATGTCTGTAAGATTTAGTGTTTACAATGTCTCTTGGAAACACTAAGGTTGGTATTCATAAGTTATTGGCAGATCATATGTTTTAACAAGAATGTTGTAGAAACAAAATAGATTATCATCTGTATTTATGCCCCATACTTGTCATCTGAGAGAATTCTTAAATGCAATTCAATGTAGATTACAAATTTGCAGTCTACAATTGATAATCACACTGTGAACCTTCCAGAATATTGAAACTCTATTTTAGAGGAAACAAATGTGTCTTGCTTTAGGCTTACCTGCAGAAATAGTCAATACCCTATTTAGGGTCATGAAGCAGGCACAACGAAATTTTCATGAATATTAATTGAGATTTAGCTTGCAAAATGAACATGGAAATATCTCTCAGATACTGCCCATCTTTTAAGGACTGACACTAAAGTAAGGCTTTCCTTTAAATAATATTTAATAGACTAATATACTCTTTTTCCTTCTAATTTTTAAGCTAGGATAAGTGCATTCCACATTAAAAAACTGTTCTCTTTAAAAAACTTAACTGCATATGATGGTGATGGATGATTACTTTTCTTCATTTCAAGTTTATTGGGTCTATCTCCTAGTTTATTTGTATGTTTTAACCAATGCATCTGATTATATTAATCTCAAGATGAAATAAATGTGCCATTAAAGTCCATATGTAAAAGAATAGTTTAAAGTTATGAAAATAGGCCAGTTCTCAATTACATATATTTTTTGTTCACCATTAAGTAATTTATCACTGGTTCATTTTAGGGCACTTGTATTTTTAGTATTTACGATTCAAGTACATTACAGTAGTCCTTTCTTATCTGGAGCTTGGCTTTCCATAGTTTAAATTACCAATGGTCAGCCATCTTCTCAAAATGTTAAATAAAAATCCAGAAATAAACAATTCATAACTTTTAAGTTGCATGCCATGCTTAGTAGTGTGATGAAATCGTGCACTGCCCTGTTTAGTCCTGTCTGGGACGTGAATCATCCTTTTGTCCAGTATCCACACCGTAGGCACTACCCACCTATCAGTCACATAGCAGCCATCTTGGTCATCAGATTGACTGTCATGGTATCACAGTGCTTGTGTCCTAGTAACCCTTATTTTACTTTTATTACAGAATATTACTATGATTGTCCTATTTCATTACTAGCTATTATTGTTATTCTCTTACTGTGCCTAATTTATGAACTAAACCTTATCCTATATACATATCCTATATACATATACATATCCTATATACATATCCTATATACATATATCCTATATACATATATACATATTATATATACATAATATAATTAGGTTTCAGTACTATCCGTGGATTCAGTCATCTGCTAGAGGTCTTACTGCCATGGGGAAGGCGGAACTACTCTACTGCAATCAATTTATATCTTCATTATGTGCTAAAGGAAAATTAATTTTAAGAAATTCAGGTAAAACTATATTCACGTTCTCTTATGTGGCTTTTCATATCTAAAATTATTATACATATTGTGCTGATACATAAATACAAATTGTAAAATGTGTCCTATGTAAATAAAGATGGAAATCAGAATTCAATAATATTTCAATGGCTATACCATTTAAAAATACACATGTATAGTCAATGAATACAATTTTTAAAATGCTATAATTTTTTAGCCAAAGCTTTTATCTTTCATTTGAGAACTTGAAGACTGTCAGCAAATTTCAAAGGCTTTAATCATCCAAATTTTTTTAACATTCCAAAGTATTAAATATTCCAAAAGTAGATTCGAACTTTCTTTACCCCAACTCTGCTTTAGGAACCCTAGTTCAGTCAATGATTCTCAAAACTGAAAATTATTTTAGAGACAGAAAGTCTTCTTTGAGATAAATTTAACAAAAATTTAATCAAAATATTACTTTTAAATGTTATCTGGAGGGGAGAATATGGTATGTTCATGACCTTACAGAGTTTATGTACATATTTTGAAGCTTACCATAAACTTTGCTTTTAATTGGTTACTATATGTGATTAACATCAACTATCCCAACACTTAAGTTATTTTTATAATTCTCAATATTATTTGTGATATCTTTCTAATCAATATTTTTGAGTTTTACCTATTTTTATTGAATTATCTTTCTTTTCTTTTTTGTTTCTGTAAATTTGTATTCATTGTTTATTTTTTAAATTTCCTTCCTTCTACTATCTTTAAAATAATTGTTTTTTCCTAATTTTTAAATTAGATTATTAGTGTAGCAGTTGTATATACTTTATATATATGTCCGTGATATAAGATCTATTCCCTATAATTTCATTTTTATTTTGTGAAGCTTTATTAAGTTTTTTTAAACCTTTTTATTTGGTCACAAACACTAACATTGTTGCACTGTGAATAGGTAATATGGTTTGCTAGCTATCTTGCTTATTGTCTTCCCCCTTTACTGGAATTTAAGATTTCTGAGGGCAGGATTTTTTGACTGCTTTACTCATTGTTATGTCCTCTGAACCAGAAGAGAGCCTGGCACATCATAAACCTCAATAATTACTTGTTGAGTAAATTATTTCATTCTAGAGGTTTCAGCTGTCTTAGATCAGTTTTTATATTACTGCTTGTTGTTGTTGTTGTTGTTGTTTGGATTTCTATAACAAATGACTGTGTAAATTCAAGCCATCAACCACTTTTCACACAGACTGGCATTTTCAAATTCTCGGGTTTTTTTTCCCCTTCACTTATTGCTTGTGTTGGATAGAAAGTTCTCTTAATATCAGTATTGCTTTGTTCTGATGTGTAAAGTGTCTCTAGGTCTCCAGTTCACAGATTGTACAGCCCTTAGATCAGTTGTATTCGAGGCCCCTTTTCTGCCCTCTGACTTGGGAGAACACAAGATGTCTTCTGTTTCTGTAACAGTCATTAAAATCCTGTCCTAAGCTGGACATGGTGGTTTGTGCCTACCATTCCAGTGACTTGGGAGACTGAGCTGAGAGGAACTCCTGAACCCAGGAGTATGAGGCCAACCTGGGCAACATAACACCTCCATTTCTAAAAAATCAAATAAAAATAAATCCTGAACTGCAATTTCAAGAAAATGTTCTAATGCATATTTAAGCCTGTCACTACTTCAGTTGCCAGCGTTTCAGCTAAAATATACAATCTATCTTTAATTTCCTTTTTATTTCTAGCCCTAGGGATTTCTTTCTTTCCAGCTTAGTTAGCTGTTAAAATTTTCCTTACATGTTTTATCTAGCATTTTTATGTGTATGTACTAATCAATCTTGTTTAAATCTCACAGTCTTTAAGTCTTGATTGGAAATGAATATAGCCAAATCTTGCTGGCCTAAAACTGTTTCATTTCTTTGAGAAAATGTGAACAAATTACCTAAGGTCATTTTCTGAAAGCAGCCATAATTTTCTTATTTCAGAATTCCTACAGCTCTTTGTTAGACAAAAAGATTGAGCACCACCAGGTTAGAATTTCTCATCTTAAACATATGCTTCCTTATTCTCATGAAAATACTCTGTCTTTATCCAAAGAGATTGTTCTTAGGATCCCAAAATAAACATATTTCACCTTCTGAAACATATTTACAGTCTCGACAATAAACATCATGTAATAGTATCATAACCTGATAGCTACCAGTATAGCCAAAACCAAGCTTATTTATTCAACAAATATTTGTTGCACTTTGATTATTTGTCAAGCACTATTTTTATGATGTATTGTGCTAGTTGCTGGAGGTATAAATTTAAATAAAGTAGATAAAGTCCTTGTCATCATAGATCTTATTTTCTGATAGGGAAAACTGTCAAGAATAGCAAATCCAGGTTAACCCAGACCCAACTGAATCTTTCAAAATGTCAGTAAATACTTCTAAATGTCCTCCTATGTGCCAGTGTGGCAATCACCAACAAAATAAGAATTCCTGTTGTGTGTATCTTATAGTCAAGTAGGGAATAAAGGCACTAAATGCTGCAAAGAATTAAGTAAATAATCGTAACTGTGCAAAGTATAGGCTGAGAGAAAAATGGAATATTTTAGAAATTCTAGCAGAATATAACTCAGGTTTTACAATGAGCCCATCTAGCTTAGCTAGACTGAGCTTTGACCTTTAGACTTGGTAGTCTTTACTGGTTCTACATTTTTTTTTTTTTTTTTGGTTTTAAGAAGCAGAGGGTTTAATAGGCAAAAAGGGGCAAGAAGGAAGGGAGAAGGAAGAAGCTCCCCTGTACAGAGACAGAGGGGTGGGCACTCCAAAGCCGAGAGACAGAACCCCAAGTGTGGCGGAAACCAGCCAGGTGTATATATAGACGTTGGAAGAGGCAGTGTCTGATTTGCATAGGGCTCAGGGGATTGGTTTGACCAGGCATGTCATTCACCTAGCCCACGAAAAAGCTGGCTCTCCCACCCTAGTCTTTTAATATGCAAATGCAGGGCACCATGATGTTCTACACACATGGGGATATGCGGGGGCAGTCATGTTGCCAGCAACATGTGGGGCAGGGGCACTGGTTCTACTTTTTTATCATGTCATTCATTCTATCTCTCTTGACACCATACCGGGGTCCCCACTGGGTCATATTAGGTAATTTCTAATTGCTGATGTTGATTCTCAGTCCAGGTTTACCTCTCAGAGCATCTGGTCCAGGTGTTATCTGTAAATCTTACACCCTTCTTTAAAACTTAAATGTCTCTCAACATGATTTTTTAAAAAATTATTCCTTCCCCAGGGGACCTGACCTTGGCATAGCAGACTGTGCCTTGGTTAGAATTTTAACCTTCTTTGGAGCTACTCTAGTGATAAATCCTGGGGCTGGCACTCAGCTTTCTCTGACTTCACTCTGAGGAGATGAGGCCCTTTTCATATGCTGCCAAGAGAGTTTGCTGAGTTTCACTCTTGGCTTTCAATTACTTGTTAACCACCCTTAGCATTTTGTTATCCTTTTTCTAGAGGTCAGTAGAGTTTGGCAATAGCATGCAATCCAATTGCTCTTGAAGCTACTATTTCCCTCGCGCTTTTCAACATCAAACCAGTTAGTGGATTCCTCTTTCACTGATATATCCCAATTCACCACCAGTGAAAGTTGCATGATTTTATGAGTCCCTTGTGCCAGTAGAATCTAGACTCCGTGTGCTCAGTAGTGCGTTCCTCATTGCCAGCTAGGCAATGAGAGGTCTAGCTCAAAGAGTAGTTTTATCACTTGCATTTTCAGAAAACTCCTGACATAAATTACCATATTTTGGATTCATTATTTGATTCCTATACATGATTGATTGTTTGGGTGGTATAAAATTGGAAAGACATTTTTCCTAAAGTTTTGCAAGCATTGTTCCCTTGACTTATGACTTTTGATATTATACTTGAGAATTTTTACTTATCCTTTGCATATTATTTTTAAAAACTTTGTTTTTTTTTCTCTATGTTGAAAAGCTCAGAAAATATTTTCTGTTTTCTTTTCATTTGAAAATTTGAAATGGTCTCATTATTCTGATTGTTTCCAGGCCTTTGTTGAGCCCTTCACAATCTAAAAATGAATGAACTTTAGTTTCAGGAAACAATAATGAATTATTCCTTTTTACTTCCTCTTTCCTGTTATCTCTTTCTGAAATATTAAGAATCAGATGTAAACTAATAATATGTCTATATATTATTTATAGATAATAATACATATATAACATTTTATAATATATATATCAGTATAAATATTTTATTAATTTTCTCATTTTCTCATTTTACTTCTGTGTGGCTTTTCTTTGGGGGAGAATTTGCTTTCTGGGAAATCTGCTTAATTTTATATTTCAAGCTTTCTCTTTAATTTTCAATTTTTCCTATTTTCTCAGTTTAGAGAAGCTCTTTTTCTGTTATCTGGGTTTCCCTTTTACATCATGCCCCTTTGTAACTGTTGTTTTTAAATGGGTGAATATGCTGCTTGTCTATCTGAGTATAATAATTATATTTTTGAAGCTTTTTTTTCTGTTTCCTACATTGCTTACAATTTCTCCCTCTTCAATGTTTCTGGGGTTGTTTGTTTGTTTTAAGTGTTAGAAGATTTATCCAGAGATCTAACAATCCCTATCTGTCTGCTCATACTTAAGAATAAGGAACTAAATATCAGATTGGAAGTTATTTAGGCATTTACAGAATTTTAAGGATCTGGTACAGATTAAGTTGACCAAGGAGGGATCCGGCTGTTTCAGTAATACCTCCAACTGTTAATTTTTCTTTCCCTGAGGTGGGGGAGCTGGTCCTACCTACGGCCTGGAAATCAGAAGCTTGAGTGACTGTGATCTGGCAGCTGAGTAGGAAGAGAGGTGTGGACCTTCAACACTCAGTGCGTAGACCTCCATTAACCCCAGTTTCCACACGGCACTCCCATCTCTAGTGATGCCTATTGTTCAAAATTGCAAATTCCTTCCATTTTAACATTTCCAGAGAAAAACTTTTCAAAATTGTTTTTAGGTGTTCATGTGTATGTTTGTTGCGTGAGACGTGGTAGAGGGGATAACAGTGCTTGGAATGGAGAGTATCCAGGGGTCTAAATGCTTCTAACACTGATATTCAAGTGACTTCCCGTTTCAGCTCCATCCACACAACCTGGCCTTCACAGGCAGCAAGCGTCTCCAATTCTCCATCTTTTAAAGAGTTATTCAATGGCAGTTTCATTGCTTCTTAATTTCTTTCCCTATTGTCACTTACTTCTCTTGTCTGCAAACTAAATTACAAATGGGCATTTTTAAAAAAGATGTTAATACATCTTTTCTCTTGTGACTTCCTGTCCTTGTCTCTTCTTTGCTTTATGGAATTACATTTTTAATAAATATTTTAATAGTTATTTTGTAGTGTTTGTGGAGTTTGTAGTGGTAAAGATGTGTTTAATCTGCTACTTGTAACCCAAAACCCGTAAGTCACCTCAATAAAGTGATTGCAATTTTCAACCTCTCATTCAGCACCCCCATCCAGTTATTCAACAACTTATTCAATTCAAACACTGGAATATATCTCCAGTCAGCCCAATAATCTCCATTTCCTATGCTACTATACAATGTCAAGCCACCATAGTATTTGACCTAAGTCACAATTCCAGTCTTATCCACTTCTATTTTCAACTGAAACAAATGTATTTATCTTTCTAAAATACAAAGATGACTGTTATTTTCCTCCTTACAAGATTTTTAACAATTTTTCTAATTCCTAGAAATACTTTCTAAACTGCTTCGTAATGCACACAAATCACTTGAGACCCTGATTCTCAGCCATCTCTCTTTGTGCTTGGATTACATTCAATTTATGATACATCCTTCTGCCTTTCTTAACCAGAGGAACATGAACATGGGGTGAAGCATGCACATACACGTTCTCTCATACACACACATGCTAACATGCTCCATCAATATTAATGTACTTACAAGTCTATAAACATGCAAGAATTTTTTTATACTGGACTACCAACCACCAAATTGTCCACTAAAATAATGTCTTTCTTTATATTTTTAATACCGTAGTTTAGCTGTAACCCATACCAAGGTGCCCTTCCTGATTCTGTGTTAGACAATATGTTCACATAATACTTTCCATTTATCCAAAATTATCATTATCACATTGTATCGAATTCTCTTTCTCCTTCCCCTGTACACCACTTCCTGTGCTCTAACCTCAAGACTGTAAGCCTTTCTTTTTTTTAAAACTGCAAGCTCTTTAAAGAATCCTTGTGTCTTTTCCTGTATCTAATTTTAATTTCTGATATACTACATGGCACAGCAGATGCTCAGTAAGTATCTGATAAGCCAGCATCCAATGACTACTACAAGGAAAGCGATGGGATTCTAAAGTTGTATGATATATATATATATATATAAATGTCAAAAAGCTAGGGGAATATGAATAATCTTCGTTATAACTAGTTTGTGGTGGGAAGCAATATATCATTAGATTTGTTCTTTTTTTTACGAGGAAGATACAACAAATAAATCCTTATAAAAACAGCCAATAAATCATTTATCATCATATTGATTTTCTCACTAGATTTGTTTTTTAAGAAAACGTTTATTTGCTGGAAGAAACTAACAGGAATCTTTTTTGCTTTGCTTTTGTAAGTAAAAACAAGTGAAAGGAAAAGAATAGGCTGTATGTTTATAGTCACCAAAAAGACTGCAAAAATGTGACAGAAAGAAGAGAATAAGGTCTTTAAATATCTTTTCAAATTAAAGAGTAGACTGGATCTATGAATACCAAACATCAGCGGCATGCAATTTACCCATGTCATAAACCTGCACATACACCCCCTGAACCTAAAAGTTGAAAAACAAATGAAGTATAATAATTATTTATAGCATTTAAATGATGACCAAATCAAAGATGAATTATGAATTCAGTTAGTTCAATCATAAGACAAGAAAAAAAATGTACATCTAACAATTAGCAATCACCCGATAAGATACAGAAAAAATAATTAACTTTTTATGACTATTTTTATTTCAAATAAGTGACTGAAAAGAAATAAATTTCAGTGGGATTTTTCCAGTAACAGTTTTATGTCACTAAAACAAAGACAAATTGCAATAGAACTTTCACTGTAGATTTTAAATAAGAGTAAAATCATTCCACTTTGGTTTCATTAAGGCCAAATGTAGACAAAGGAAATAAGAACATGATCACATTTTATTCTCATCTGTTTCTTACTTCTATGTAAGGTTTAACTTACAAAAGTGTTATCATTTCAAAGATACGATTTCTGGTATGTATTTGAAAGGCAAAGTAAGAACAAGGTGGTACATTATCCAGAAGCATTATTTTTTCTTATTCTTTTTATTTATTTTGCATTTTTCTTAATAAAAGAAGAATGAAAATGCAGGAAAAAATTTCCTCTCTACATAATTTAAAAACATCTTTCAAATTATACTTTAGAGTTCATTTGCAAAATTATGAACAATGTTTTACATGCAGTTTTTCACATGCTGAAAACATCAGTTTTTACTTAATCTCCTTATGCTGTTTCTTTCTTCCTTCCTGTAGATAAAAGCCTAAAGTGGGTTTGCATGGATTACAGCTTTTCTCATTCTCCTTTCATCATAGCTCATTGTTTTGCATAATGTGCATAAAATACATATAATATATCCAATCCATTTTAGCCTCAGATCAGAGCAAGTATTGAACTTTTACAAGTTTTATAAAATTTGCAAATTTCACTCAGCAAGACGAAAAAATACATACATTCTAATGACTTTTAATTTGGTAAATAAATGTTGTTAAAATTAATGCATGCACACACACACACATACACATACATTAGGTGTTTGTTCATTAAGACCTAAAATTTGCCATTTCCACACTATATTATTCACACAGAAAGGGCATCAAGCACAATGTACCATAAAGCTGTTTAACTTCTCCTTAATTGGGAAAAGTAAACTCAAAATATCTAAAAGGCAACTTTATGACAGAATAGAAATCTGCTATAAAAGCAACATTTTCATGAGTATTTAAAATTATCTCTACATTTTAATAGCTATTTGGACAGGAATGTGTAACCAAAGAGAAAACTTAGAAAAAGGCAGCATACAACATTGAATCAGTGATGAATTAATTGTTGGCAGCAACTACAACCATTTTTGTATTGTTTTGCATTTAAAAATGTTTTAACCTGTGTACAAAGTGTAAACTAATAAATACTAATTGATTTAAATACCTGATTCAATGTTTCTTAAGCTTGAGACACATATTAAAGGAAAAATTATGCTATGTCTCACAATATTGCATTATTTCCAGAATGTCATTTAAATTAGAATATACATAAAACATGGCATTAATCGTATATATTTATAGTTTTTATAGAACCATATGACTGGAACAAGATTTTAATATACTTTTCATAGAACTACAAAACTAATGAAGTTTAAAATAATAGTATTATTATGTGGTCCATAGCATTGTTTTCTGAATGAAAAACCATCACTCACAATATAACTATGATATTCATCATCCTAGTGCAGGTTCTGTTGAGCTCATCTTGTCTGTACTGCATTTTTTTCCTTATAATGACTGACTCAATTTTCTCACACTTTTGGGTATTCAAACTACTGTGAAGCCTTTATTCATCCATTATGGTATGATGTCAGGTGGATATAACTTGGCTCCACTTTTAGATATACATATTAACCTTGCCCAAATTATTTCCTATTAACTTCTAATGATGAAAGTAACACCACTAGGCAGCAATATGATGGTAAGAAGAATGTGTCTGTAACTCATAATGTTCTGGATCAGCATTAGATCATATATTTACAATCCAAATAATCAGGAAATATTTTTTTAGACATTTATAAATATTAAAATATAAAATTTAGATTGTTACTGTGGAGAATTTTTAGACACCAAGTTTATGATCATAGGCTTGCATTTAAAAAATAGTACCAAAATTATACGTGCTGTGACAGTTAGTTGCTACCTAAAGTTAAGCAGTACCAAGCTGTGAAGAGTTAATTTTTAAGATTAACATTAATTTGGAGTTCTAATATGAGATCAATTGCCATTGAAAAATTGAGAAAATATAACAAAGATATGATTAATACCTAAAACTCCAAAGCACAGGGAAATTCAAATATTTTAGGAAGATAAATCTGTTTTCAATGCAGCAAAAGCAGCATGTACCCGTGTCCAAAAGTTGTTTATTTATTTGGCATAGTCAGCTATTATATTGTATAATGTTAGGCTAAGAAAGGGTTTCCAAAGGAGGATTCCTTTCTGTCTCCCTGTTTCGGTCTCTGACAATGTCAAAGTCATAATTGTTTTAATTTCATACGATCTTGACACGTGTGTGTGTGTGTGTGTGTTAGATGTAACATTAAGGGAAGAGCTTTAGTAATTATAACTTTAATTGTTATGGCTGATTTTTTAGAAGAATATTTCCAAATATAAAACATATATAGAAATTCATAATTATATGGAAACATAATTTTTATGCATATTTCAAAACTGATGTATGAAAGTCATTTAGCTAATTAATGAGTCAGAATCTCTTCCTACATTTGCATTGTTACTTGTCACTGTATGACTTTAGAAATAAAGCCACCTCCTAGTACTATTTATGAGAACAGATGGAATATGAAGAGTCCAAAAAGAAATGATTCTTTACTGGATATTTTCAATAACTATGTAAATGGCTTAAGCTTTGTATTTATTGGTGTAAATCAATTAATTCCAATTGTAGCTAGTGTTAGCTATATTCCACTACATGTTTTGGGTAAATTATATGCTATAAAATAGTTGAAAATCAAAAATGTAAGAATTTGATAGCTAAAGTCTCACAAAATTTTAAAAATTAAGTATGACCTGGGAGGAAGAATACTGGGCAGTCTTTAGGAATGCCCTAATGTCGAGGATCTTAAGTAATAGTAGGGAATGTAAAAACATTGAGTTCCGTTAGCAGATGAAAAAAATGCTCAAATGCATATTGGATAATTTTGCCTAAATGTGGCTTTAATACATGGTTGTAAATTTGCTATTGCAGATGTAACTAGATCACATGCTAGACCTGATCAAAATACAGTAAATGTTGTAGCTACCTTTTTTTATTTACGGTTTCAAATTCAATGGCTTGAGTTTCAGGAATAAATATTCCAGTGAATATCATTGTTCATAGTTGATGTCCAAGGACTATACTAAATTTCCTCTTCTTCATCTGTTTTATTACATAAGTTGAAATTTTAAGAAAATGTTTTACAAATGTCTTTATGAACAATTATTTTTCCATCTGTTTTTTTTTGTTTGTTTTGTGGTAAGAATATTTAACATGAGATATACTCTCTTAGCAAATTTTTAAGCATACAGCCCAGCATTTTAAAGCACACAACACAATATTTTTAACCCTAAGCACAATGTTTCAGGATCTCTAGAACTTATTTATTTTGCATAACAAAAACTTTATTCCCATTGAACAGCAGCTCCCCATTTTTTCCTTGCCCCAGGCCCTGGTTAATCAACCATTCTACTCTCTGTTTCTACAAGTTTGACTGTTTTGGATACCTAATATAAGTGAAATCATAAAATATTTGTTGTTCTGTGATGTGCTTATTTCACTTAGCATAATGTCCTCAAAAGTTCATCCATCTTGTAACATATGGCAGCTATCCCACTTCAGGCTATTTATGCAAAGGAATTGAAATTAGGATCTCAAAGAGAATTTTTTTACCTTCATGTCCATTGCAGCATTATTCATAATAGCCTAGCTGTGGAAACAATTTAAATGTCTGATATGGTTTGGCTCTATGTCCTCACTAAAATCTCATATTGAATTGTAATTCCCAACGTTGGTGAGGGGCTTGGTGGGAGGTGACTGAATCATGGGGGCAGACTTCTCTCTTGCTATCATGATAGAGTTTTCACAAGATCTGGTTGTTTGAAAGTGTGGAGCACCTCCCCCTTCTCTCACTCTCTCTTCTGCCCACCATGTGAAGATGTGCCTACTTCTCCTTTGCCTTCTGCCATGATGGTAAGTTTCCTGTGGCCTCCCCAGAAGCAGAAGCCTGACCAGAGCCAATTAAACTTCTTGTCTTTATAAATTCCCCAGTCTCTGGTATGTCTTCATAGTAGTATGAGAATGGACTAATACAGTGTTCATCAACAAATGAATTTAAAAATGTGGCATATACATACATATTCAGCTTTTAAAAAGGAGAAAATCCTGCCATATGTGGCCATTGTTTTTATTCCTTGAAATGGGACAATTCAAATAATCAATTCCCATTACTATGATTTTCTGAAAAAAATCACAGGATACATAATTGAGATAAAGTCTTCTATTATACCCCACCAACCACCCACACACAGGCACACTGCCCAATGCTAAGCATTTATTCTTTTCTGTATCTTGGACATTTATACTACAGGGATAGAAATAGACATTACCAGCCAGGTGCAGTGGCTCATGGCTGTAATCCCAGCACTTTGGCAGGCCGAGGCAGGTGGATTACCTGAGGTCAGGAGCTCGAGACTAGCCTGTCCAACATGGTGAAACCCTGCCTCTACCAAAAATTCAAAAATTAGCTGGGCATGGTGGCAGATGTTTGTAATCCTAGCTACTCATAAGGCTGAGGCAGAAGAATCGCTAGAACCAGGGAGGTGGAGGTTGCAGTGAGCTGAGATCACATCATTGCACTCCAGCATGGGTAACAAGAGCAAAACTCCGTCTCAAAAAAAAAAAAAAGAAGTAGACATTGCCTTTTATTTTGAAATTATACATGATATTTGTGTTTCCTAGAAGTAGATAAAGCAAGCAAATATCATTGAAGAAACGCAAGATGAAGTGGGTGGTTGGTTGAAAATAGAGAGGAAGTAGATATCCCGAGTATGAGAGAAGGAACACCATTCTTGGTTGGACAAATATCTATAATTGTTTTTAGTAGGATTATTTTATGTTTCTACATATCATGCCACATTTTTATGCAGTATCAAATTTTGAGGACTGCTATTGGGTACTTCATGGAATTGAATTCTGAGGACCAAAGTCTTGAACTTCTTCATGATTAATCTCTGCATCCAGGATTGGCATCAAACTTTATGGCATTTCACTCTCAAGGGACCGTGTAAACATAGGTGAAATACCTGGAATGACCAGAATATTGTTTCCTAATTGTTCTTGATTTAATACAATTTTTGACACTTTTAATGAACTTCAGTGGGCAGGTAAACTCAATGGCTGGATTTTAGTATCCCCTAATGAGCTGTGACAGAATTTTAGATTAGATTCAATTTGATTTGGAGAAAAATAAACACAGCGGTACTTTTTTCAAACATATACATGCTCAGATCTGCTATATGTGAGGACCTCATCCAGATGTGTACTGAGGGTTTATGCATTGTAGAATGATAGCAATCTACAGAAATGGAGAGAGATGCTTTTGAGACAAGAGTGTTGACCTAGTTGCAGGACTTGCGTACGTGGATGAGTCTACACTGAGAAGTAACTACTGATTTGAAGTACAGCACTAACGTATGCTGAAACTAAGTTGATTAAAAACTGCTCACGCATGAAACAAAATAAAAACGCGTACATCTGGATGTTATTGAGGCAGTACTGAAAGAAGACAATGCTTCTGAAAATCCAACCTATATCCAACTTACATAATTATTTATTCATGTTTGCCCAATCATAGAAGATTATGCTTTTTACATGGAAGCAAACTATCTCTGGAATCCTTTAGTGCCTCAAATTTATATGTAGCTACTGGGATGGGCCATTCTTTAAGAGACTTACAGGTTTACTGATGAAAGGGGTTGTAGAATAAGTAGCAAGGAGAGAAACAGCTGACCAGTTGCTTTTCTACTACTACTTCCAGGAAGAAAAGACCAGCAGTGTGTTCTAAAAACCCATTAAGGGGAGAGGATATAAGACAGTCCCACAGGAGTAGGAGACAGGAGTTAGAGATTTAGTAGGGCAATCAACCACTTAAAAATTTTTAGCGTGAATCCCAAGTTATTTGATATACAGTTGAGTTTAAGGCTCTGAAAATAATGGACACCTGCTTCTAATTCTGCCAATTTTTCTGGAGAAATAGCAGAACTACAGGGAGAAATATCAGACCGATACACACAGACGCTATATTCTGAGGTATCCAAACTTCCATATTTGGTCAAGTACTGTACGTTGAGCCAGAAAGAGCAGAACTGACTTTCCTCAAATTAATAATGTGGAGTTGAATATGAACATTTCTATTACAATGAAGAGTTGTTCTTTTGCATATCCTAGACACCGTTTAAGCCTCAGGTATTTTTGTGTGACACAAAGATGTGTGAGAGATACCAAAACATATTACTGAAGTTCAATTTTACACCATTCTTGTAATTTGGGGCTTAGGGATTATTTAGAGAAATTAAGCAATGTAGAATATTTTTCTCCGGCGGGTGGTGAAGGGAAACTCACATCAGTTATATTTTCATTGTGAGTGCTTCCCATGGTAGTCACAAACACATCCATTTCTCCAGTATACTGCGGAATTTCAAACAAGGAGAAAAATCTGATGAAGTTCAGCTCCTGCCTAGCAAATTCTAATCGGGTTAATCAATATCAGCCAGCTCTACCTTCAAAATAACAAATGTTGTGACATATGCTATGCAGAGTTTGGCAGCAAACAATTGACCAAGAAAAGAAGTAATGGGATCAGATGTGAGGAAAGAGAAAAATAAGTATGATAGCAAGAATACCCGTACTCTTTAAGAGGTAAGGCAGAAGAATTAAACATTTAAGGCACAGCAGGGATTGACAAAGAAAAAAAAAATTGACCTTCAGGGAAGGTTCCCAGTTCGGAGATGTGAGATTATTGTTAACAGACACTTTATGCCTGAACAGTTTGTTATCTAAATACATTTCCATGGACCCATACGTTTGAAATTAAATGGGTGAATTTTCAGAGAAATCCTTAGTTTTCCCAGCATTGATGTCTTCCCAAAGCATATTATATTGTGTTTTAAAATAAATGATTAAAAGGGTATATTTAACACCTCATATATTATATCTCACCTGATTGACCAATTGCCAAATAAAGCTTATCTCCATTTTTTCTGAGTTTAGGATTATACTTATAAAATAAAGGTTACTATAAAAATTTGGTTTTTTAAATTATACTTTAAGTTTTAGGGTACATGTGCACAATGTAAAAATATGTTTTTATTTCCCGTAAATACTTTTAATAAGACATTTAAAATAGGTTAAAACTACAGTGCCTGGATAAAAGTGCTTGAATCTCCTAATCCTCCATGTAAATCTTAAATAAGCAATATACCCGTGAGATCTCTAAATCCACAAATGCAAATTGTCTATTTATGTTGCCAACAAGCCAGATGACATTCAGAGCTTCCTCAATACCCATGAAACACCTGCTTGCTCCAATTATTAGATTTTCAAATGCTATTTAATATCTCATATATTACATAAATTTTATGGATAAACCTAGATATATATACATATATTAAAACCATTATTTTCTTCATTATATTCTTTATAATCGTATTAATATAAAGTAACAAATAAATATTAAGTAACAAATTCAGAAGCAGATCACTTTTTTTCTAAAGGAATCAGAGAGAAATTTTGTCACACCTACATATGCCTGCATAGTGTTTAACTTGGAATGATACAAAAGTCTTTAATTCATCAATTACACTATTAATTTTACATATTCTAAAATTACATACTCATATCTCCCTCAAGATTTTCAAGGTTCCTTATCTTCTTTTTCATAAAGATGTTAAAACATAATTAATGGCTTGGTGAATAATTTTCATCCATACAGATATAAGAAGCTTAGGAGATATCAAAAAATATGTTTAAAAATAAGCTATTTATGGATCTACAGAGTCCTTCCCATATGTTTTAAGTTACTTTAAGCTTTTAATTCTTGAAATGTGATTAGATTAATCTAAATAAAGATAAAAAGAAAGCAAGCACATGCGACGGATGCCATGTTATCCATGTAGTTCTGTGCATATTAATTCTAAAATTGACTATGTTCCTAGGCCTACAGACCTGGTTTGAAGATTCATTCTGCCTGTTTCTTTGTTTCTGGTTTTTTTTTTTTTTTTTTTTGCATCATTAGCTTAAAAAACATTGCATTAATAACTCCTGGTGAGTTGAACTCATTGTCTCCAGTCCAAGTGGAGGAGATCCTTAGTCTCCTTCCTTCCATAACTCTCTTCCCACTTGAACTGGAGATGATGATTATTGCATAAATGCTCAGGATATTTTTGCATTTGAACCCACATAATTACCCCAGCCTAAGTAAAGTAGTCATAATAGACTTTTCATTCTACTCCCACATTTAATCAATAGCAGAATATTTTATTTTTACCTTCCAAATTCTCTGGATCCTACCCTGTCTTCTCCCATTATACTGCTTTAGCTGGACTCACATTCCCCTCACCTTGATCATTGCAGTACTTGGCACTTTGTCTCTTTAACCAGATAAACCTCTCCCAAAAATTATTTTTCTAAAATACAAATTTGACCATTTAACTCCCTCACTTACAAACTTGGAAAGTTACAAACTTCAAAAGGACCCTCTCTCATTGTTTATAGAATCAGTTTCATCAGTTCAGTAAGCATTTTTTACAAGTCTCCATCCTACCCCACAAATACTATTTTGTTTTACCTCTACTACTTTTTTTTAATTTAAATGATGGTTCCTTGTAATCCATCAAATCTCATCTTTCTTTACTTCCATTTTTTTCTTATGCTTTGATACCAAATATATCAATGTGATAAGCTCATCCTTTGAGATTGAGGACAAAGCATACCTCCTGTTGAAGCCTTACACAATCTCTCAAAATATAGTAGGTTTAATCTTTATTTTTTCACTGAAACTTTATGTACTTGTAGTGTGTTGTTCTTATATACTCTATTCCATTTGTTTACAAGTTTCACTAAAATATTGTAAGCTTATTCATTTAAGACATTTATCTAATTTATTCATATGCCTTTAGCATATGTTAGGTTGAAAGCATCTAACAAATATTCATTAAGTAAATAGTTAATTTAAAAAATTGATCTATGTAGAGTGACTAGGCCATATCTGATGCAATCTATACCTGTGCTATTCTGAATATATGATATATATTATATCTATCTATAATATATATAAGTACATATATAATTAATACATTTATACCTATGTCTGTATCTCTCTATCTCAAATAAAAAATGTTACAGGAGCCAAAAGAAAACATTTATAGTTTTAAAATTTTTCACATATTTAAGTATCTGAATATCTACATAAATAAAGTAGAATTGGACAGTTTAATCTGCAGTTTCTTTAGAGTAAGCAAAGTGAATGTCTATTTCTACAGAAATGGAAAATACTAATAACATTCTCTGACTGTCTTTCTTTGTCTCTCTATAATATACATGCCCACACACAAATATACAAATACATTGATCTTTCAAGTTAAAAAACTCACAATATAATCCTTTTATCTTCCAATATATCACTATCAGGTTTATAGTTCTGCTGAACTGAAAAATTTTGGGAGAAGCTTAGAAAACTTTTATGGATAAAGAGAAATCAAAATCATGCTTTTAAAATTGGAAGGCAAGAAGAATTTTCAGCTGTATAAATTGGCCTACAAAAGGTATTGCTAAAGAAATAAAGTATGCTGCAAATGTACAGATGCCCTGACCTGTGGAGATACAGTAATTCCACTGACAATAAGCATCATGAGCAATTATTTTTATTTCCTTACTGCCCAATGTCTTTGATGAAAAAGTACTATCAACCTAGACTACAGAATGTGGCATTAAAGTTTAATTCTCTTCAATCAGGTAGGCAGAGATCAAATTCTGACACTGGCTTTTATTGTGGAAGAGTTAGAACTTTCTGAAAATCTCTTTTAAACCACTGAAGCAAACCAAAAATGTTATAAGAGCCAAAAGAAAACATATGCAGTTTTTTTTCACATATTCAAATATCTCCACACCTACATAAGGAAAGTATAACCAGAGAGTTTAATCTAATTTTTTTTTCCAAAGGAAGCTTTTTTTTTTTTTAAAGTTTAGTCTTGCTGCTTATTTAACTCTTTAGATTCCTGTCTTGTTTTTGCATTATCACAGTTGTATAAGCAGGCTTTCCTATAAATTAAAACATTAACAGCAGAAAAGTAAAATACCATATAATTCCATACACTGACATTAGCTTTTTTACGTTTTTACTTAAAAAATAAAAATAATCATATTGATAGTTTTTTTGTTTTCAATGTGAATATGACTTATGAAGTGTAGCTAAAATTTGAAAATGTAGCTGCAAGCATGGGATATATTTTTGAAAATAATGAACAAAAGGACCTGAATTTTGAACATTTTTTCACAATTGCACGTCAGATTAATCTGCTATAATAGAAGCACACATTAAGCACAATAAAGTATTTATCAGTGTTCAAAATTACTATTTTTTACGCCCCTCTCATCTGAATGAACTGTCTTTCTAAATAATGAGAAGTTTATCTCATTGTTTCTTTTAACTAATTCTACTTCAATTTTTATAACTTTATAGTTCTGGGAAATACATCCTTACTTTCAAAAGGGCATCACTTCCAGAAAACATCTGAATGTTTAAAAAAAAATCATCATTTTAGGGCCAGTCATAAGTTTAAAAGACTGAAAAGTAGCACATGTAAATTTGTAAAAGTCAAATGTAATTTTTTTATATAGGACAAGCATTAAGCACTAAAATTGATTTAACGAAGATACACTTTTGAAGAAAACATAAGTGTTTATATTTTTCTCACCACTGATAACTCAAATACAGATTAAAAACCATATCATTCTAAGAATTGCTAAACTATATACACAGAAAAACTGTATTTTTATCAATTCATTCAAATAATATACTATACAGATTATAAAAGGTGTGGAATGTTTCACATCCAAAGTTACTTACATATAATTTAACATTTTTTTTGTATCCACTTTTTAAAAGAAGAAAAAGCTGCTGAAATTGTTATATACTCTGGGTTGATGATAACTGACTCTGTAAATTTCTACCTTTGTTGATGAATTGAACATTCTATAGCTATTTAGCCATTATGTGTTTTTGAATCCTTTTTAATGTATTTTATTAAAATTCTTTTATTTAAAATGAAAAGGCTAATAGATGTGTCAGAATTATATCAAAGAAAGAAAAAAGTACAAAGAAAAGACAAAATCATACCATAATTTTATTCTAATTATTTCATAATCACCTATGACATAAATTGGCAAGCCAGGCTTCATGAGGAGAAAGAAGGAAGTGGACATGGTAGAAAGAAATGTACCATACCCGTCTTAACTAGTCGCTGAGGAGAGATTCTCCAAACAAGTTTATCTTTGCCAATCTATCTTTGCCTATCTCATGAAGTCCCCTGCCACACTCTGATTAGGTTGGCTGTAGACCATGCTATTTAATAAATGGGGATACTAATTTGTTATAAGAGAGTTATAACAAATTTCTTTTTCTTTTTTTTTCTTTTTTTTTTTTTTTTTTGAGACGGAGTCTCACTCTGTCGCCCAGCCTGGAGTGCAGTAGCGCGATCTTGGCTCACTGCAAGCTCCTCCTCCCAGGTTCACGCCATTCTCCTGCCTCAGCCTCCTGAGTAGCTGGGACTACAGGCGCCCACCACCATGCCCGGCTAATATTTTTTATTTTTAGTAGAGATGAGATTTCACCTCTGTGGCTAACACCTCTGTGTTAGCCAGGATGGTCTCTAACTCCTGACCTCATGATCCATCCGCCTCGGCTTCCCTAAAGTGCTGGGATTACAGGAGTGAGCCACCACGTCCGGCCGAGTTATAACAAATTTCTGAGTTTCATAAACAGTAACTAAACAAGGTTTTTGAGCGTGTAATTCTTTATGTTCCAGTACCTTTGCTCTTTCTTGTTAACCTTCTCTTATCAAATGAAGCAGACCTATAAATAAATACTGTAAGATGGCTAACAAACTGCCACCAAAATAAAAACAAAATAAACTTAATTTTATATTATCCTAATTTATAAAATTCTTTTAAATTGATACTTCTTCATTCATACTTCATATTTTCACACTACTAATTTACCTAAAGTGTTAGTGCAAAATTAAAATATGCAGATAAGTTATTTTTAACATCATCCCTTCTCTGTTATTCTCCATTAATTAATAACAAACTATCTCAAGATGAAGTTTACCAGTGAGTTCCCTGGTTAAAATCAGTTATTTGCCAATTTGCTTCATGTAAAAAGATTTTATGTATCATCTATCTATGTGTCTAATCATCTATCATTTATCATCTATCTCTTTGTGAACATCTGCTGAGACTAGACTGATTTGCCACAATTATTTGGCTAAACTGATGGCAGCCACAAGCCCTCTGGAGTGGCTACTGTGAAGACACCAGCTGCTGTGGTGAGGCGGGCAGCTCCAGGTGCTGGCACAGGTGCTGGCTCCATGCAAGGTTACAACTGGACCAGAGGTACTGCACGTAGCTCCCACTGCAGGCACCCACATCTGGACGAGGGGAATGCAGTGGTTCCCAGAAGCTTGGAGATGCCATGTGGTCCTCAGAAGCTTGGAGAGGAGCTTCATTGATCAGCAGAACAGCTCTTAGGAGGCCCGAAGTGGGTAGTTGCTTTCTGTAGGCAGGTTATCCCAGGAGACCCAGAGTGGGTAGCTCCTTTCCAGCTCTCTGCAGAGAGCAAATCTGGAGTGGGTACCTCCTTTTCATAGGCAGGTTGACCCTACAAGTCAAGGAGACTCAAATTGGGTAGCTCCTTTCCACAGCTGGTCATCCAGATGTCTCTCTGAGTCTGGCTGAGTAGGGGGACTGAAGGTGTGTGTGTGGGGGGGTTGGTTTATGGGCTTTAGAAGGGAGGAAGTCTGTGCTGATTGGCCATGGTTGGGTCTGGAAAAAGCACCATGAGTTCTAAATCCCAAAGTAGACTCCACCTGGAACTGACAGCCTGGCCCCATGCTTCACGCCTTCCCTGGCTTGAAGGTGGGGCATCAATGGGGACTCACCCCTTTCTGCCCAGGAGCCTGTCTGCCTCCCACCATCATCAATCATGTTGTCCAAGGCGCTCAGGCTGTTCTTGTGGAGGGGCGTCTGCAGGTCCATAGGGAGCTACCCTCAGCATCCCCTTGGCCTCCCTCTTGTGTTTGTCAGTGCCCAAAATCTGGAGGGGGCCAGGGCGGCAGAGGGCTGGCATGTCAGCATCACCCAAAGCATGGGCACACCTGGCCGGTCCTGACAGTGCCTGGGCTTGGCCTCAACCTTGCTCCAAAATTGGAGCAGGTGCCAGGAGTGGGGAAGAGTCCAGGCAGCAAGAGCAGGCACTTCCAAGACTGTGGGGCCATGGGGTAGGCTCTCCAGGGCCCCCAGAGCACAGGGATGCCTGGGTTCACAGCCATGGCTGGGTGGCTGCAGCTGCGCCCGGGAGGGTAGGGCTCTCACCCAACCGACTTGGAAGGGGGCGTGGTTCCTGCCTGCTCCTTGGAGTGTAACCCTGGCTGTGCCTCACCTACTGCAGCCAGTGTCTTTGCAGTGGCTGGTCCAGATGGGCCACACCTACAATCAAAATTATCTGGAGGTATGTAATTTATTACAATAAAATTGTTATTTATTAAAGGCATCAAATTTTGCTTTGAGACAGCCATTTGATATTTATCAGTTAAAATAGTTTGAACTCTTTCTCTAGAAAATTCAGTATACTTGGTATAACTTGTTTAGTATTATTAAAGATTAACTTTGATAGGAATTAACAGTAAAGATAGTAGAACTGGACATCAATATTTACTTCTTTTCACACTCTAGTAAATTAAAAGAAGTGTGACATATAACAATTCACTTTTATTCTTACCAAAATTTAAATGGTGAACCATTTTTTACTATTTATCTTGCCACAGAAAACCACCAAACTCATTAACCATCTGGTAATTATGCCAAACAAACTATCATAAATCCATAATTATTAGTGCCACAACTCTCTTTAATATGGTTAAATTGTCTACTTTTTTTTCCTTCATTTTTCCTTTTGGTTTCAAGAAATACAGAATTGTAATTAATTAGTCATGTTTGATCCTATGGATCGTATATGCGCCTCTTTGGCTTTTGGAATCTGATGACATACTAAAGCAACCTATGTTTGATAAAGGTGTTTTAAACCGTAGAAAATTATTTCTGCTTCATCAAAGGAAAGGAATTTGAATATATCTGTGTATTTATATTTTCTGTGAAATAGTCACAAATATATTTTAATATACATAAAAAATTCACATATTTGTGATTGGAGACTAAAACTAATTTGTAATTTTTGAATGGACACAATCATCCTATTAAAATGTATCACATACATATTTTCTTCTGCTAAAATCTATTTATAAGAACTTCTGAAGGAAATACAGGTACAGCTATGATTTCTCAATTTTCAAATTCCAACTGCAATTTTTTTTGTACATAGTAGTTTTCCAAAAAATATTTGCTGAATTAAGTTATATAATAATTAGATGAACCATGAAATTAACTTTTTAAAATTTTAATCTTATTTTGAAATCAATTAGTTGCCTAAAAAATACAGCAATTGCCAATTTTCAGTGTAAGTATTATGTGTAAATCAGATACTCTTTAATGTAAATTCACTTGGTGAATTAAACGAGTAGTCTCATTTTATTTTCTACATATGGCAATAAAGTAACCTTAATTGTATCCCCAAATGGAATAAACAGATGTATTTTTAAAATTGAACTTGATGCTGTTGAGCAAACACTATTTGTGTTTGATAGAATGAAATCTATTATATTGAATGCATAGGCTTTTTCTGTTACTCGTTTAAATTTTTGATTGAACATGTGATCACTAACTGTGGTTTACCATCACATTTAGTATAGCTGACATTGATTTTATCTAGAAAATAATCTAGATTTACCTTTCAAAAATAATTTGATCATAAATTATTGCTAGGTATTTTGAAAGGCAAACTATAATAAATTCTCACTACTCAAAATATATTTTTATTTATTTATCTATGGAATGACACAGAAAAGTAGAAATCATAACAGGACTAAACAGAAAAAGGTGTGTAAGGTATTACATTCAAAATCAGTTCCAAAAGTTATGCAAAAGCTGGAACTATGAAAATTTTAATGAATTCTAATTTATTATTTAATAATATTTATTTAGTAAAATTATATTTTAGATTGATTCAATTTGTTAATAATATTTGAAATATCTGTAAGTATTTCAAAAATTCTGATTTGGAGAACTAAAGTACAAAAATACATAATTTTTAAAAATCCCAAGGAAATTTGAAATTCTAGTAATTTTATTTAAAACATGAACAAAGAAAAATATTTAGTAAGCAATTATAAGGGTTGTGATAGTTCAGGAGGTCATCAGAAAAAGATTTCATTATTATGAGATGAAATTGTAAAAAAAATCTTACATGTGAATATAGGAAAAGGCCTACTAATTTGATGGATAAAATATAATTTTAAAATTATGACATAATTACTAATAAGAATACATTAAAAAATCAAAATAGGTTGATGTTTTAAATTTGAATCTCTCCATGTTGTGAAGTAATAGTCATAAATTTAGAGTATTACATGTTCCATCTTTTATTTTTGAAAATATAATCTCTATTTAATAAAATGTCACCTAAACTACAGCTGTTAAAATACCAACATCATTTTCCAAGCTGTAAAACTAATTAACTTAAAGCTAAGTTGATTAATGATAGTTGAAAATGGTTATTGTACAATCAATATCACTACCCTGTAACCATCATAAGTTACCTAACTTCTCTTAGTCTTTATTTTGGAGTTTTTTATCTAAGCATATAAGAAAATAGCTTCTGTCCTTCCTCAATATGATACCAGTATGGATTACTTATCTCAAATATTTTTTTTAACAATATTATAGGATATCGTGGTCCCTAAGAATATATAATTTAAAATAATTCACTTTTACTGATTTTCCTGCAATCTTTTTAAAAAGAAACTTGAAAATGTCAGGAATCAAACATTAAAGCTTACTAATCTTTTAACAAATAATTAGTGTGAATTAATTATGCTCAGTTCAAGGTAGAAAGAGTAATAAAGTTTAAGTAAATAGTAAGGGCAAGAATATGAAACACTTCAAAAATATGGAGATAACGACCAAGGAGAATCAAGTCTGGGAAAAAAAAATCATATAAGATTAAAGGGAAATTTGGAGCTGGAGGGTGGGAAAGTTGTGGGGATGGATGAGGACTCGGTAAGGCAAAGGCAGAGAGCACTATGGAAAAAAAAAATGCCTGGAACAGGGTTTCACATATTAAAAACAAACCATCTTTGTGTCTCAGTGCTTTGTTTTATAAATCATTTCCTAAATTCTGTGTAATCTACAGATTAAAAAAGTTATGTATAATGTCTTTGCTTATTTCTGTAGTCCTCTGCTGTGTGAGTCTAATTTGAATTTTAGTGTAATTTCAACATAGCTTTTACAGGTTAATAAAACTTACATGCATTAAAATGCTATTAAAGTGTTACACATGGTTAATAATACTTATGGATTTCTGAAAGCAGTCATTATTACACTGAACAAAGTCATTAATGTCTTTAAACTTTGCATCAGGAAATAAAATACAAAATAGATGTCTAACTGCAAGAATAGTCATGATATCTGACTATAAATATTTCTTCTCTTTTTACCATATATTTTTTTCTTTTGTATTTGATATTTCAAATAAAATATACTGTAATAAAAATAAATGAGCAATGCATTGGATTCTGGTATTGACCTTCCCACTGATTGTGACTTCAGCTTTGATGACTGACAGAGTACAAACCTCCTTAGGCCTTTGCCTTGTCACCTATATAATAACTAGGACACTAAAGGTAATCTCTGTAATTTCCCTCAGCCCTAAAACTCAATTGAGTTTACAGCTAGAAATGAAATCATCAGGTATTATATTTTCTGAACAAAAATATTTTCAATTATTTTAAATAACATATATAGTTTGGGAATGGCAAAGACTTTGAAAATCTTATCTATTATTTGTCATGTAACTTTTCTCTACTTCAGATGTGCATATTATTAAATTGGCATTTCTTCATTACGTAATATAAAGTCAATCACTTAAATGTTTGGATTGCCTAAAACATACATTACTAAAAATAAGTTTAGGTGTTTAAAATGTCCATTCACTTCTCTATAAATCACCTGAAGTATGGTTATAGAATGATATGTTACTACACACCTAACATCTAAGTAACTGTTTATCTAAAAGAAATACTAACTTATTTTGCTTGAAATAGTTAACTTTTATTTTATTTCAGTATGCAAAACATACTGCCTATGTATTTGTCCACAGTAATAAGGAGACTATATGTCAGTGGTTCATTCATTTTACTATCCAGAGTCACATTCCAAACAGGCTTAAGTCCTTCCTTCCCTTCCTTCTCCCTCCGTCCTTCCCTTACTTCCTTCCTCCCTCCCTCCTTCCTTCCTCCCTCCTTCCTTCCTCCTTTCCCTTCTTCCCTTCTTCCCTTTCTTTCCCTTCCCTTCCTCCCTTCCCTTCTTCCCTTCCCTTCTTCCCTTTCCTTCCCTTCCCTTCCCTTCCTGTTTAAATAATCTACCTATGATCACGATATAGCACACTAAGGATTTACAGTATAAAACATGCTTTGGAAGAATTATATTTTCAACTGGCACACTGGAGCAAGGGGACACTGATGTAGACAATGTCATATGGTAGCAACATCAGAGTTTATCACATTAAATTAGCATTTTATGGTAACAATTCAATTAGGCTTATAGTTTTCATTGAACTTTAAAACATTTTTATAGTTATATAACAGCAATAAACATAATGGGTTTATAACTAGCTTTATATTTGTATATATCAAATATATAATTTAACTGAGACAACATGAGATTTATTTTGCTTTGAAAGGAGTCCATATATAAATCAACTTATAAATTTACAAATCTGTTGCATAGAAAATAAATTCCTAACAGGTTCAGTGTCTCTAAATGTGCCTGAGAACGTTAGACAAGACCACTGAACTCAAAGTGTAAAAAATTATATCTAATCTGGGTTTCTTGGTAATTTTTTTTTTCTTTCTTCATCAAAATACAACTCTTCTGTGTTGATATCTGTGCTAACTACCACAGCAAATTTATCCTTGCCAGAAAACAAAGAATCTACCTATCTTTCAAAATTTAGTTACTGCATCAGCAAGATTTTTTTAAATGAATACTAGCTATCTTAATTATGTACCATTGTCTTAGTTCTAAAATAATTTAAAATAATAAAATGTTTTCATGAGAAAAATCAGCAATGAACAAAGTATAAATCTGATATGACTCTGACCTGGAGAGGTCCAATACTCAAAATTTAATAGTAGAGGAAGATATTTAAATAGACTCATACTTGTGTAGTAATTTGACCCTTAGACCCTGGCAACCACAACACATGTAGTAAAAATAGGCTTTCATGGATGTTCCTGTGCATTAATGCTTGCCTCTGCCCAGACATTTAATGGTGCAGCCTTATTTAAAATAGTCTTAAAGACACAGAAATAATTCAATAAACAAGAGTCTGGCAAATAGAGTTAGGATATGAAAGTGGTCTTCGGCTATATCTGGGTAACAACCACGAAGATCAATAAAGCCGGGATATAAAATGCTAGAAACTGACACACTGAGTCAACTTAATTCTGTAACAATAAAAAGATGAGTTCAGCTATATGAACTTTGAAAAAAATCAAACTCTTGGAATAAACTAACTACTCTGTAAACAGAATATAATAATATGGCTTTTTAAGTGGGCGTTACATTTACGATGAAAGAAAATAATGAAAAACTAAGGCACATTGAAAAGTAAAAGAGATTAAAATACACAAATTTCAGAAAAACTAGATAAAAGTTTGAGAAGTAAATAAAAATGTGAGAAGGAACAAAAATATAAAAACTGAAAAAAGTGAAATACATGAAGGACAGAGTTTTAAGTAGTGTTACTCACAATAGCAAGGATATAGAATCAACCTACATGCCCATCAACAGCAGATCGATAAAAGAAAATGTGGTACATATACACCACACCATAGAGTACTATGCAGCCACAAAAAATAATGAAATTATGCCCTTTGCAGAAACATGAGTGGAGCTGGAAGCCATGATCCTAAATGACCAAACACAAGAACAGAAAACCAAACACCATACGTTCTCCATATAAGTGGGAGCTAAACATTGAATACACATGATCATAAAGGTGGGAACAACAGACAATGGGGATCACTAGATGCAGAATGGAGAAAAGGAGCTGAAGAACCTCTTATTGGGTGCTGTACTTACAGCCTGGGTGATGGGATTTTTGGGATCCCAAGCCTCAGCATCAAGTAATTTACCCCTATAACATACCTGTGTATGTGTCCTTTAATCTATAATAAATGTTGAAAATGTTGAAATTTTTAAAAAAGGAAGCAAAAAAATTCATCAAAGAAAATTTTTTAAGAAGTGTGATATACAATATGTAAGCAATATTGCTACCCAAGGTAGACTGCAGAATGAGTGAATCAGTATCAATCATCTGCATAAGACAAATAGAATAATTTTAAAAATTCCCCTGACTTGAAGAAATAAATAACAGAAACGTATGACACCACATATTTTGAATAAACACTTAAAACTCCAGAAATAAAAACAGAAGGGAATTAAATTATAAGTTCTCTATATGTCAGTCATTGGAATAAATCTTTTCTACATGGTTTTTAATTAAATAAAAGTCATTTTAACTTCTGTGAAAGAAATGAATCAACTGAATTTATAACATATAGCATTCATGAAAAAAGACCATTCCTTGGTTTAATTTTGGCAATGACGGAGATGAAAGCAAACTTGACAGCACTTACTATATCATCCTCAGTCAAAGATAAGATCTAAGAAATTTACACTTCACCAAGTTAAAATTAATATGTGAATCTTACAACACAACAAAATATTTTAGGTTGGCAATTAAAAAAATTACAGGCAATTTTAAAGGGTAGCACAGTCTTTACCTTTTTTGTTTATTTGTGTAATGTCATTCAGCATTAAATTTCAATTGGAAAAAATAATTCTAAAATAATTATAAGAGCAAGCCTATGGAATATTCTGCAGGTCATTAAAGGCTGAAATATTTAATAAAATAGTTTTCCTTGCAAGTAAGACCTCAGGATAAATACCCTTAAGGTGCAAAGTTATAAAGTTGAGTAATTTTCCCAATTAAAGTCAAACAGACCTTAGCAAAATCATTAACAAACCAGCAACAAGAATGAAGACATTAACTTTTACTATGATTGGCATAAACTTTGAAGCAAAAATAGTATAAAGATAATAACAACAAAATATTTTACCAGGTTTTTAAGAGTGACATGATTCTTTTTGATTAAATTTAGAGAACACAAAATAGAACTCAGAACAATAAGTTCAATTTTCTTCTTTAAATATCAAATAATAATTTTATTATGATTTTACATAAACATACTATGGATTAACCCTTAACCCATGAACAAATCTCATAATTTGACTTGAAAAGCACTACCTTCTATCCTAGAATATGAGTTTTCTTTGGTAAGTAAACTATCTAAGGACTGTGTTGATTTGGCACCAGCTCTGACTTCTCATAGTGTAGCGTGGAGTCCCAGTAGAAACTGCACCTCCCAAGGCATTACCATTGACAGATCTTCAGGGGCTTTTAAACACATTGAATCAGCAATGATAATTTTGGAGATAGATGACTCCTATTTAAATACAGTTTGAATAACTTTATAGCAGTAATGAATGCCTATGCTTATCCCTGGGAAATATGCCAGGAAAAGAAGCAGGCATCTTCAGCCTGAATTCTACTGGCTTCATGCTGTAAAAAAAAAAAAAATCAGCCAAGCTAGCCTGTGGATAACTTTTCCCTAAAAGGAATATTTATACAGGAGCTTGCTATGGTTTAGGTGTCCATACCAAAACTCATGTTGGAACCTTAGTGCAGCAATGTTGGGAGGTGGTGCCTGTACACAGTGAATAGACCTTTAAAATAGATTAAAGTCTTTCTCATGAGACGGGATTTGTTCTCTCGAGAAAAGATTAGTTCTGGGTACAGTGGTTGTCAGAAAGCAAGCTTGCCTCTCCTGTCTGGTCCTTCTTGCATTCCAGCTTCCACATTCACATCTCTGCCATCCTATGGTGCAGCATGAAACCCTCATCAGAAGCCAAACAGATGCCTATGCCATGCTCTTGGGCTTTTCAGCCACTTGAAGCATAAGCCAAATAAACCTCTTTTCTAGTCTCTGTTATTCTGTTATAGCAACACTAAATGGACTAAGAGCTCTTACAGTGCTTGATTTAACAAATACTAACAGATTGTAAAAATACACATTTTAGGTTTATGTTTACTTATTTTGATAATCAATTTTTTTATTGAACAAAATGTATTTCCATGAATTGAATCCTGATTTTTAACACTGTATCCATCAGAAATATACGTTCAATTTATGATTAATGACTTAGTCCAGGCAATTATTAGGTTATAACCCTGAGAATCCTTGTAGCAGTCATTTTAATAATTTTGTTTTATATAATTTCCATTTGTATAAAAAACATGTTTACTATATTTTATCAATCTACAAAAGTACGATAAACAGAAAGTATGTTCAAAACACAAGATACGAGAAAGAAGGATTTAAAATACACACACACACACACACACACACACACAGGTACACACACATGTCTGATGCATGTGTATATCAAACAAAAATGGCATGTTAGGCAATGTGTAATAACTAATATCTATGTCGTAATAATAAATAAACATTGTTTGCCTATGCTAAATGTAAGTTAATATTCTTGAACTTATATGAAATTAGCTTTTATGTATGTCTTACTAGAGATACACACCAAATAAAAAATACAGTAGATACCAAAATATATAAGTAGGCAAAACATGCCCTAGATATTGAACACAGAAAATACGGAAGTGACAGTATTGTATAGAAGGCAGAATATATTAGTGTCTTAAAAAGAAATAATAAAATATAGAAATGATAAGTATACTTTACTAGTAAATAACTATATATCAAGATATACATGATAAACCTGTCAGTAATTTAAGATATATGACAGAAATACAGCTCACAAATTTTAACTTAACATCATCCTAGCACAAATGAGACTGAAAGGAGGTCAAGTATGTGTGTATATTTTTTAATACCTGGGTTCGGTTATTATTTTAAAGTTGAACAGATAGTGACTAAATTCTCAAATGACCAATCCATTGGATATATTATATAATCAGAAATAACAAAGGAAAAAAATTCATCTCCTAAAATGTTTAAAACTATACCTTTAAAAAGTGGTTCAAAAATATAGTGATTGATAGAATAATTTGCTTTTATAACTCAAATAAAATTTTTATAACCTATTAAGATCTCAGGAGATAGGCATAGTAGTAACAGAAATGAATCTCTGGCTAGGAATTATTCTATAAATGTGAAATATTAGCAAATCATTCATTTGGTATAAAATATTTGAGAAAAAGAATAAAAACCCACTTTGAGAAAGGAGAAGAGATAAAAAAACAATGATAAAATGAGGGATGATTTAACTGGGAAAGCAAAACATGGGAGTGATATGAATATATGATATTTGGAAAATATAAACAATGACATTTTGTAATTGTTATTTTCTAAGTTGTGCTTATATATATATAAGGTAAAATCTTACTTCAAAACTTAGTATTTACATTGCAGAGTGCATTACTAGTGGGATGTTTATAAGCTCTCCTAAATATATATTTACTTACTTGTGGGTAAATAAATACTGACCTGCAGTCAAAAGTATGTCCAGGCCCATCAACACAGATCCCTCCATTAAGACAGATGACTGAATTAAGTTCAGGCTCAGCACAATTATCAATGCTTTTTTCACAGTATGCACCAGTGTATCCACGTGGGCAAATGCAAGTAAATCCATGTGCTGACTTCTGACAGAAGCCTTCATTCATACAAGGGATTGATGTGCAGTCCTAGATTAAGAAATAGAGAATCAAATTTGATTATTAGTATAAGGTTGACCATTTTAATATAATTATATTTTTATTTAAACATAATCTAAAAAACTGATGTGCAAACTTGTTTGACATTTCCTTCCTCTGTTAATTGAAATATATGTTTATGACAGTAAGCGGTTTTTTACCTTTTATTACCAGAAAGACTGTCAAATATTTTATTGCTGATTTACCAAGAAATAAAATCATTATTAATCTTTATAAAAAGATGTATCATGTCAGAGAACTGCCCCTGCCCCCAATAATGGTGCTAAAGCAAATTTCCTCTGCAGATAACAGAATTCACTGGCCCTTAGTGTCTACCATACCTCTCAGTTTTCCCAAAACAGCCCCAGTTCAACTCTGCTCTCCTACGGTAATGATTAATAGTACTTCCATTAAATTTCAAAGGATTTCTGGGTTTGATCACATACTTAGAACAAACATTTCACAATGCATTTATATCCATGTAAAATAGCTAAAACATCTGTAATAGCTGAAGTTTGAATCCAATCATAATCTTTTAATTACCTACTTTTCCCCATGCATTTGTCCAAATGTATGTCCAGCATTTCTGACACCTGTAGCTGCAGAAGTGCAAATGTCTTGTAGAGTTAGAGGAATCTGGATAATACCTGTTACTTTTTAAGCTTAAAAATATTTTAAAATTTCTCATAGTTTTACTTACTTATTCAACAAATGGTATTTTATTTATTGTAACTACATGGATGCACAAAATGGTGATAATATCACCCACCTCATATGGTGTGCTATGAGAGTTAAATAAAATAATGGCACTGTGTCTTAAACGTCATATGTGATCAGTAAATATTATCTTTCTTTCTTCTCCACTCTGAAGGCCAAGGGCTCAGTCAGCCTCTATTTCAATCTTTTGGCACTTAATTTGAACAAGAAATATGTTTCTCTGTATATTTAGCTTCTACCATATCATACCATATGCTTTTAAGTTTACAGTTTAGGGTTTATATATATACTTACAGTGTGGAAAACACATGTCATAGTACCACAAACATGGTATGACATTATTTTTCATAATGTAAACTGAAAAGATTTGCACCCATAATTCTGAGAACTAATTTATGGAAAGTTATGACATCATTAGTAAAACTGTTTATTTTCAAGAGTTTTACCTAAAGATAATATCTTAATGAACCTAAACCAACTTGAATCATTTTGCACTCTAGGTCTTGAGTTCTTACATTCTCAAGGATAATTCCATATGCAAACATAAAATACTTCTTCAGCGTTTTACCTTGAAAAGTGACAATTTTCTAGAATTATTGTTCATTAATTGACACCTATGCTTACAAATATTTAGTGACTTTTTAAAAAAGTATTAACGACAAAAACTCATACCGACAAGACTATTATGGAAGCCATTGCATTAATATCATGTATCCACTGGAAAATTAGATGATGTTAAAAATCATCAGAGAGATTAATTAGCGTCATCCACAATTAGAAATGAATTGTGCACTTCAGTATAATATTCCAGTCATGCCTGGAACTTAGATAGTGATCTTGTACACCCCCACCCCCTACAAGTGATAGAACTAAGTATGTTTTTATAAACAAATCCTTTGATATTTGTTCCACTTTTGCTGAAAACGTGAACTTGTTAAGAAAAACCAAGAGCACATAGTAGACTATCCTGTAGGTATTGCAGTTTTATTTATGGAATAGAAATGCAGAATTCCACAGGGAGTGGCATGGAAACATGTTTCTCCCCTAACTCTGTTTCTAGATATGTATAGAATGATTTATTAGAAAACATTACATAAACTAATTGAATTGTATCTCCCATGGGAAAATAGGGATAGTTTTTAGACTGCCAAAAGTTCTGTCTCCAGGGTTTCAAGAATCTTTTACTAAATTAATTAGAAAGCTTAATGGGAAATACAAAGGCAATTTCTTTTTAGAGGAAATCAAATTGTCATTTAAAGTTCTTGATCTTTCCTGGTTTAAAAATTTAAAAGGATGCCTTTCGTTTTGTTCATCATTTATATTGCTTTGCTATATTCTATTTAATATAATAAAGTGCTTTCCCAAAGAGTTCACTAAAGTAATTTCAGAAAATAAAAGATATAAAAGGTTGAGTATTTAGAGAAAGAGATGGAAGCTGGGAGGAATCCTGCAGACCAGGGCAATCTAGACAACAGAGCTTGACCCCAGTGATATATTCATTCAACGTGTACTGAAAATATTATGCCAGGAAATGTACAGGAGCATGAAAGGAACAGGGCAGTGATATATTCATTGTGAAATTCTTAGACAGGGCAAAGTACATACTGGGCTAGTAAATGTGACAGTTATCTCACTGACTCAGTTAGTTGTGTTCTCTCTGAGGGATGTGGTTTAGATCCACAGGGTTGTCCTGTGATCTCTTAACTGCCTAGAAAAGGAAATTACCCAATGTCATCTTTATCATAACATTTCTCTCATGGCATCACGTTTTATTTTTTAGCATTGGTGTTTTGGGTAGTGGAATACTTTCCTCAATTAAGATCTTGGAGAAAGGGAAACAGATACAGAGAGAACTACTATTTGAAGAGTGGGAACAGAACACGGTACCTACTAAGTCCCTACCATTCCCTCTGCAAAGGCCTATTAACCTTCACAGAATTCCGTGAACTTTGTCCAGTTCTGAATAAAAACTGCTAGTGTAGTCCAGTGTTTTTAAATGCGTATATTCAAAATCTCATTAATTATATGGGCTTTTACTTTGCAAGCTGCAGGATTGGGCAATCCAAAAGACTGAGAACTTTGATTAGACGTAACTACGGAATCTGTAGCATTGTAAGTGATGTGGTTGCTGTTGGTAGTAAAAAGAGTCTGGAAAAGGAAATGCAACTTCTCTTACCCCCACTTGTTTTGCTCTTCTGATCTAGGTTTGGGCTCACTTTTGCATGAGTCGTGATAGGCTTTCCCTAACTTAGGGATTCAAGATTTATGCAGGAGGGCAAATAATGGAATAGCTAGAGAACAAATACCTAGAGAACATAATGGCATTTATTTAAACAAAAGATACATATACCAATAAGTAATAATCACATTTTGTCAGAACAAATACGTAGGAAAATATTTCTAATAAACACACAAGTATGGTAGGGCACACACAAACAAATGAGCAAGAGGGGGTCTTAAAAGTAGTGCTAATTATTTTATGCTAGAAATAGCTAGAATGAACTCAAACTTCTGTACCTAAAACACAGAAAGAATTTTTAAGAGCAATAGACTTAAAATATCTTAAATATCCAAAAAAGGATACTAATTAAATAAATATGGTGTTTCCACACAATAGAATATTAATAAGAAGAAAGTAGAACAATATATGGTAGTATAGAATATATATATAATTATATATAAAGTAGAATAATTTTCTATGATTGATTAAGTGGAAAAGCAAGGTACTCTGTGTGTGTGTAATGAATGTTCCCATTTTGCAAGATCTTGTTTATTTTAAAGATTTGTTTCTAATTAAAGGATATCGATATTCTCTAAAATAATTTGTAGGAAAAAGCTGACCATTTGTTGAGGGAGATGGACTCCAACTCAAACCCTCTCCTGGAAAGCATTCTGATGGTTCAATCATTTAATTTCAAATAAAAAGAATGAGAAGAACTTGTTAAATAAGTCCCTTTTAAACCTGTCAAAAATCACAGAACCTTTAGAGTCTGTGTTCAAATAAATCTGGATACTTGAAAATAATTTTCTGAATGCCAGAATCCACTATGTACTAATGAAAGAATAACAAAAAATAGAAAAATATACATGATATACATGGCAGACAAAATGTAAATTATATTAAATAAAAAGCTCATAAATTACAGTCCACACTCAGAGAAACACAAATACATGCACTCATGTGTGCGTACTCAGTTTTTTACATGCAGGGGATACATGTGCAGCCTTGTTACACGGGTGTATTGCACTTGGGTAGTGAGCATAGCATAAAATAGGTCATTTTTTCGAACCATTCTCCTCTCCCTCCACCCTCTTCTAGTCCACAGTGCCTATTAGTCCCATGTTTATCTCCATAGGTGTTGAATGTTTAGCTGTCACTTATAAGTGAGAACATATGGTATTTGTTTTTCTGTTCCTGCATTAATTACCTTAGTTTTATGGCCTCCAGCTGCATCCATGTTGCTGTGAAGGACATGACTCATTTTTATCACTCTGTAGTTTTCCATGGTGTATATGTACCATATTTTCTTTATCCAATCCACCACTGATGGTCACCTGTGTTGATTCCATGTCTTTGCTATTTATACACAGTTTTTTAATTCTTTCCTTTTTATTTAGAGAACTTACATGAGTCCTTGCTTTATGTTAAGTCTGCTCATAGCAATATATTCACTACGAGTTAAAGCACGAATTCTCTTATTTCTACTTCATCTGAGAAAGTCACGATTTTTAAATTCTGTAATTAGTTTTTTCCATTTCAGTACATAACATATATTTATAATTTGATATCTTAAAAATAATACTGCTTCCATGTAAATATACATGGTGCATGAGAAAGATACATGCCATCCTCCTAAGTCTTATCAAACTTGAAAGAAAAATATCTGCTTTCTATGCTGCCCTACTCACTTTCCTTTTCTGTTTGTGTGTGCATATCCAGAACTTAAATTACATTTTTTTCACTAGTCATGGCATATGTTCTCTCCCCAGGCATGCATTTGCTCTTCTCCAGCATTAATTCTAATTTTTAAAGCTTCCTTCTAATTGTCACTTGGACAAAAAACAAAACAAAGTGTATTAGGTTTCTCTAGAGAAACAGGACGAATAGGATAGAAGTATATGTGAAAGGGAGTTTATTAAGGAGTACTGACTCACACTATCACAAGGTGAAGTCCTACAATAGGCCGTCTGCAAGGTGAGGAGCAAGGAAGCCAGTCCGAGTCCCAAAACCTCAAAAGTAGGGAAGCCGACAGTGCAGCCTTCCGTCTGTGGCTGAAGGCCCGAAAGCCCCTGACAAACCACTGGTGGAAGGTCCAAGAGTCCAAAAGCTGAAGAATTTGGAGTCAAATGTTTGAGGGCAGGAAGCACCCGGCATGGGAGAAAAATGGAGGCCGGAAGACTCAGCCAGTCTAGTTCTTCCACGTTCTTCTGGCTGCTTTATTCTAGCTGAGCTGGCAGCTGATTAGATTGTACCCACTCAAACCCACTCAAATTGAGAGTGGGTCTGTCTTTCCCAGTTCACTGACTCAAATATTAATCTCCTTTGGCAATACTCTCACAGACACACCCAGGAATAATATTTTGCATCCTTCAGTCCAATGAAGTTGACACTCAATATTAACCATCACAGCAATTTTGCTTGTCTTGCTGCCCATCCAGCCCTAACATAAACTATATTATTTCCACTCCTAAGGAGGTTCACATGTAACACCTTGCCCTATATTGACCCGAGTGCTCTTTTCAGTTAGTACTGCCTATCTTTCTCCATTTTTCTTGCCTCTTTAGCCTTGAAAAACAGTTCATGAATCTCCTGCAGAGTGTGTTATCTAAGCATTGCACCATAGAGAAAGCTAAAATAAATAGGGCAGCTAGTAAGTAAGATAGAGAGAGATGTAGATCACTTTCCATGTGGAGCTGGTCAGGTAGGAAATATATCTAATGATTATTATATCTCAATTTCTTATAGACATTCAATATCTAAGATTTACAGAATGAATGAGCAAAATTACATATAGAGTACACTTAATGTATTAGTGAAACATGACAAAATTTTAAAAAATGTATTAAACTATAACAATTATTCTAGATAGTACTGGTGCAAATGAAATAAAAAGTAAAGAAACAGAATCGTCCAAAAACTAACCCATATATAGAAATCTATTATATGAAAAGTGGAGCATTCCAAATCAAGAAAGAATTAACAGACCCTTTGATAAAATTTCTTGGAAAAAATGATTATACTTAAAAGAAACCATTAAGTTAGATTCCTAGCTTTTATCAATCATAATATATTCACTATGAGTTAAAGCACTAAAAGTATCACGAATTCTATAATTGTAGATGAGAATATAATAATATATTTAAAATATTACAGTGGGAAGGATTTCTTTGGAGAGCAGCAAAGCCCAGTTAGGAAGAAAAAGGTAAAGAAAAATATGAAAATCTCACAATTCATAAGCTGTATAAAGTAAGAGTGTCCAGACTTTATAAAAGATTTGCATTTTTTCAGAACCTAGTAGATTTTATCTATAATTTAAAATAAGACATACAAATCAAAAAGTAAAGGGCAAGTAATCAAAAAGTAAAAGAACTATAAGTAGGCAAGGCACAAAGAACTACAAATGGCAAATAATAGCATGGAAAGGTGTTCAATCTTGATAGTAACCTAGGAAAATATAAATTAAAATAATGACAAATTACATTCTCCTCATGAAATTAGTCAACACTTTGCAAAGAGTGATTTCATTTAATAGGATCTAGGTAAGCGGTGTGCTCATACTCTCATCAGGTAAGTGTGGTCTTCAGTGTTTATTTGGAATACTTTATAGCTATTAAAAAGAATGAATCAGGACTCTTTGCATTTTAATGGAATGATTCCTAAGATATACTTCTAAGACAAAAAAGTCACTGAGTATAATGAGTTTGCTCTTATGTTAAAATAAAAATATTAGGAAAAAATCTAGAATCACATAGGTAGAATTTTAAGAATTGCTCTCATAATATTGGCCATGTATGTATATATGTACGCATGCATATATACATACATATGTCAAAAATGTCTATTTACTGATATTTTAATACAAAACTAAGAATATGATATTTGTACTATTAAGAAATATGGTTTTAGACATTACTTCAGGCAATATTTGCAGTAATGCAAACAAGATGTATGGTTCATTCATTCTCTACTAGGGAATTTATTTATTACATTTCCCTTTCCACATCAAGAATAACTTTCACTATCCAGAACAAAATAAACACAATATCAACAGATAATTATGCTTTTTAAAACTGTGTGTCAGAAAATGTGCTAATTGTTTTACATGCATTATCTCATTTAATTCTTGCAATAACCTGAGGTAGTTACTGTGATTATTTTTATTGAATAGTCAAAACATAATTTCAAAATAAATGTAAATTGAGAACACACAGTAGGTAAGTAGCAATATAGAGTTTCCATCTTGGTTCTCCGTGAATGCATTTAACTACTCCATCACCCCTCTCTGGAAGGGCCACTTACTGAATAGTTACTGTGTTTCATGTACATTCTCACACATGACCCTGTGATGTCAGAACTAGTATAGCTATGTTTTACTGACGAGGGAGAGAGACACAAAGAATGTAATAAAATACCCATGGTTTCACAATGACAAAGGCTTTTAGTTTGTATGCTTCCTCCCTTTACCATGTTATTGTCAATCAAAAATGATTTGGAAGAACTCCCCAGTATTCCAAAAGGCTCACAAGATTCTCATCCACCAAGAACGGTCACAATTCTCAGTCGACCAACATTTTTCAACAAATGAGGCATCCTATATAAAATACCATATGTCAATCACACCACATGAGACTCCTGAAGATTGAAAGACATATCCTGAGAATATTAAAGGTGTTGCCCACGTCTTGATATATGCATCCAGTATTTATATTCTCCTTGTGATATCTGAATTAATTGAATCCTATGTCATCCCTACAGATCCACAGATACCTCTGTCTCCTAAGACCAGGGAGGACGAGGCAGATGGTAAAATTTAAGCCATCTGAGCAACTGTTGATAATGGATACTTCTAGGATTTAGTTTGGTGGGGCGGTCGGCGGGAGGGAGGAGAATCGTGGAATTTTCTAACAACAAGAGACAAAGAAAGAAAAGGTGGGGGAAAAAAAGCCATGATTTGTAGTTTTGTTTGGAGCAGCCAAAGAATTACACAGAGGAAAGATGAGAGAACAGTTAAATCATCAACAACTGTGGAAGAAATGACTCTGAAACCTACAGCAAGCAATTTGATTTTTCTTTTAAATTAAATTTTTGTCATATAACTTGAATAAAATTATAAGACTTACATTAATTTTGATCTTACATTGTGTGCTAGTCCCATCTGCATCACATGAACATGGATATTCATTAATAAGTTCTGTGCACCTGAAACACAGAATTAGAATTACATTTTCAAATAAGTAGATGTTAAAGCATAACTTCAAGGGAGTTTCACCATTTAAACTTTTCTTTCCTAGTTCAGGTGAAAAAAGCACTCCCATGAGCAATACAAAGCAGAGTTTATTCCTGGGTTTCTTATCCTTGAAGGTGACTGGACTGAAAAAACGGATCAATTTTCATTTTTGCCATTTTCCCCATGGCAATGAAAAGAATGAACAGTTTTAAAAGATAAAAAGTATGTCTAGGGCTTATGTGAGAAACTGAAGTTAGCTATGGCCAGCCTGCATTGCAATGAGCTGCCAACCTTCTTTCTCTCTTCCCTGCTTACAAAGTAGGTGGCAGGATTATAAAAGAAAACTAACGTGGAAGCAAGCAGCATGATGCATCTGTGATGCATTCTTCTTTGCCACCTGCATCTTCTAGAAATACCTTCACTCTAGATGTGTATTAACCAATATTTTATCCATGATCAGAGCAGTTATTATACAGATTCATAGAGTCATAAAATACTTTTCATACACATAGGGCTGAAAGAACCAGTTTACTTAGGAACATTTTAAATACTGTGTGGTATTATCTCTCCATAGAGCAAATAATAGAATGTCTCATCATCTTACCTGCTAGTTCTATTACCATGAGCAGTTACCTTTAAGTATATTAAAGTCTAATTAATCCACATTTATAGAAAATTACTTTATGCTAATGAACAGAAATAAAAGAAGGGCAGAGATAATGTATCAGTACATTGCATTAGCTAAAACTGGCAGCATCTGTCATCTTAAATGTACTTAGCTCTTGTTTTATGAAAGAGCATAATTAAAATTATCTTTATCAACTTTCCCTTGATGTTAAGTCTTAAATATTGTGAGTTAAATATACTTTCATAAAGCTAATAATAAAAAAAATAGCTACCTTCCATGTAGACAAGGATTTGAAAGGCAATCATTGGCGTTTGTTTCACAGTGTGTTCCAAAAAACCCACTCTTGCAGTCACAGGTATAATGATTGATGCCATCGATACAAACTCCATCATGGAGACAGGGCTCTGATAGGCATTCATCTAGATTTATTTCACAGTTGATGCCTGTGTTGGAACAGACAAGGCAAAACATGAAACCATTTAAATACAAAACTCTTAAAAGTTTGTTCATTATGGTAAACATCACCAAGAAATGAAGACCTCTCTCTATAATGATAACTTGGTATTTGGTAGCAAAAGAAAATATATTTCAAGGTTAAATATATTTAGGTCTATGAATGTTCAGATTACTAATTTAATGTGAATGACAAAAACAAAGCACAAGCTTAATCTACTGAGGAGATTGTTTTTAGTGTGATGTTTGTTGAGAATATTAGTGAAGTAATGAATTATATCAAGTTGTCACTGTGAATACTAATTCATAATTTTTTTTGTAATGGTCTTTGAGAGTCAAACGTTTATTACCTACAAGAATTAAGAATGAGTTTGAAGTTTTCTAAATTTGGCTTTAGTGAGTCTATTAATGGGCTCCCTGAGATTTCTAAATGAAATCTAACTTTGGCTAAATACCTGGGATTTTCAAAGGCCAAGTAGCGAATATTTTTTAAGCACCTACCAAGAACCACCTCTATGCTCAACTAGAGGTACCAAGCCAAAAAATAAACTTCCTGTTCACACAAAAACGTTTTTAGGGAGGTAATCATTTACAGATAGAAAACACCGAGATGATAACATAAGCAGAGCTTAATGGAAAGCAAGATTGTGTTTCGTATGTTTGAAATATCTGGAAAGAGCACAGAACCATTGTAGAATTGTTAGAATAATTTCTTTGCCCATTACATCCATTACTAGCAAGCATCTACTAATAAAAACTAGCATTGACTGAGCACTTATAGGTGTGCCCTGCCCTTAAGGCTTCCTGCACATTATCTTAGCTAATGCTCATCAAACCGATAGGCAGATCTCATTAACCTTAACTCACTGGTGAGTATTCAGAGTGTAAGTGAAACTTCCAGGTCACACAGGCCATAACAGCAAACAAGAATTTAAATCATGTTTCCTCTGACTTGTGCTTCTGATCATTACTTTAAATTACCTACCTTGCAGCTACTCTAATATGTGCATAAGTTGCTATGCTGAGTAATACCGTGGATACCAATTGGAAAACATGGTTCTTGTAGCCAATACATAATACCTAGTTGTGAATAAAGATAAGTAATAAGCTTATTACAGTGAAGAAGACAATAATGAAAATAGCTGACATGTGAGGCTCTTACTATGTGCCAGGTACACTCAATTTCAGAGGTTCATGACATAGTTTTATTTCCCACTCACTCTCCATGACTAGAGTGAGTTACAGATCCTCTTTACATTATCTTCACTCTGAGACCAATGTTAATGAAGCATACTCTACCTGGGATATTGACATCTGTGTTTAAGAGGAAAAAAGACACTTCCCTTTCATGCTGGGCTTGGTCATATGACATAAAATACAGGTGGCTCTTAAGTCTTTCACCTACAAATCAAGTTATACGACTAAGTCCAACAGAAATGGAATGGGAAAGAATGTTTCTCCCACAGGAAAGGGCACATATTTGTAACAATAAAATTGAGTACAAGCATAATCAATCAAGCTTCTCACTTGTAAATGAGTGTTACTTATTGGTACATCATACGTTTATTGGGATGATAGAGTATAGGCATGCATCAAAAACAACCTAGCCAAGGTCTGATACATGTTTAACATTTTATTACTTTCAGGTTCTTGATAAAAATATCACAAACACATTATATTTGATTAGTGATTTGGGTGGTTCCAAAGACACCACCATTCTAACTAGGAAGATAAGTGAAAAGTCTCCGTATCACTATGTAGAATGCTGGCAGAGTCAGTGCTGAAATTTTCAGTTAAAAAAAGATAGATGGTCAATTTATAACAAAAGTGTGGGGGCAGGGACAGAAAGTGTTAAAAGAGTTTGGGACAGGATGCATCCAGCAATGTTGGGAGATGAGGAGATTTGACAAAAGACACTTCACTCTGTTTTTGAAATGTTCTCTCCATAAAAGGCAAACATGTCTCAGTTTAGCTAGAGACAGCATCATCAAGATTATCTTAGGATCTTTTTTTCCTAATGTTTTATTCATTAATTAAAATTGTGGTTATAATTTGACTTTCTAAGTAGCCTCCAAAGAGGATAAGAATGGAATAACTAGCCAATGTGAGCATTTTGGTCTCTATAAACCATTCTCATTTTTAACATTATAGTCCTTCAGATTCACACATATCAAAGTCCCTTTTACCTTTCTAACTTCATCTTATTTTAATCTCACCCTTGACTAGTCTACTTTACTTACATTGACCTCCTTATATTTTCTCAAAAGTTTTAGGCATGCTGTTCCTAAAAGACCTTTGTACTTTTATTCCCTTTCTAAAAAATCTCTTCCAAATATTTCACAGTTTACATCTTCTTCAGGTTTTTACTCAAATGTCACTATCTCAATGAGGACTATTCAACCACACAATACAAAATTGCATTCTCGTCTTAATCCGCAATTGCCATTATCCTGTTTTATGTTTCCCTCCTGTAACAAGTAATCTCCTTGTAGCATTCCATAAGATGTATTCATCTTTTTTTTCTTTTTCTCTCTATTTCTCCATGACAAGCTTAGCTTCATAAAGGCATAGATTTTGTCTGTCTCATTCAAACTGCATACATTCAAATATTTGTTAAAAAATAAATCCTTGTCATATACGTGTGTGTGGGTTTATGTGTGCATGTTTTTGTATTTTGTTTTACAGATATCTGTTATTTTCTCAGAAATCCCAGCCTCTTCCCAACCACGAACAAAACAGTTCTTGAGAATCTGGGGAAACTGTTAGTCCTTGCGAAGGTGAGAGTCAGAATCCAATGAGGCGATGGTGATGCCTCTGAGGTGCATAACTAAAAGAGTTGTCTGTGCAGCCAAGGGGAAATATTTAATGGGACCTCTGCTTTTTCCCACCTTCAAACAAAGACATGTTCATGTGTGAAAAAAGACACACAGTTGTGGAGGGTCTTGGACTTTGGTTCACAATGATCTCCCACAAATAATTACCAACCTATTCAAACTCTAAGTTATTCATCTGTAAACTATGAATCAAAATTTCTCTACTGTAGCATAGTAGAGAGATATTCATAAAGTGCACATATATATATATATATATAAATACATATGCTCCCTGATTATTATAACAACAAGATTGTTTATCTTCATAGGATAACAATGCTTTGACATAGCACATCTAAAAGAAATAATAGTATTTATTAGACATGATCAAAGCCTTGGCTAAAGTCTCAGTCTCAGTTTTTTGCCTACATTGCCTTATATACCAGGTATTTCCTACTGGTCATTAATTTATCTAATGCATATTTATGTGTCAATCAGAGTTCTAGACTCCTTGCATAGTTCCCTTGACCTGGCATGCATCACTGCCACCTCAATCACAGCATAGCAGATGATTTTCACAAAATCTAATGATTTCATTATGGACTTCATTTGACAAAAGAAGAACCATGTTCTTTCTTTTTGTTATGTCTAACATATTGTTCTTTCCACCTACCCTCCTGCCTGCTTTGGAGCTACAGCAATAGTTTATGTTTGAAATAATTTTCAGCTTGTGGTTCTAAAGTTTTTTATTTCATTCATAATGCAGGCAATTCCTTTTTTAAGCAGATTGGAAGGTTACCTGTGATATTTGAGTTTTTTTCCTATGATCCCACTTATTTAAAAATCCTCTTTACTAGTCCGCCTCAACATCTGCCTCCAGATTGAATATTTTCACATAGGAAATTACACAATCCTTTTAGAATCAAGCCATTAAAGTTCATAAACTGATAGGTTTGATCAGCAAAACATTTTCGTGCATCAACAATATTATAATAGAAATTATATATATTCCTATTATATAAATACATGATTTTATGTATATATATATATATATATATCTGTCAATCAGCTGTCTTTTTTCAGACTGTGTTTTTTTTTCTTACTTTCTCTTCATTCCCTTTTTACCCAACTTCTTCCCATTTGTCAGCGTTACATGTTTTGACAAGTTTTTCAAAATCACTTTCCTGATTCTTAATTTTTTTCATTTCACATATGAGAACCTCAAAACATACTTTATGAACTCTCCATTGTCCCCAGAAATAAATGTAGTCTCCCTAGCCTAAAACCAAATTCTCTGTTCCAATCTTTCCTTTCTTGTCGCTGCTCTGATATTATCAAATACTCTCATCTCCTGGTTTATAAACCTGATTGAATAATACAATCAACCGTGGAGTTTTTAAAAATACAAAATCCCAAATCTGAATCTCTGAGAAATAGGACTGACAAGCTATATTTTTAAAAATCTCTCTAGATGATGGTAAATCATAGCTAAGGACCGCTGCTTTTTATCAAACTGGCTTAAAATTAAACATTCTCAATATTTTCTCATATCCATGTTAGCTCCTGATAGTTCTGCCTGAAATGTCATTTCCACATCTCTGTTTGCAGCCTGTTTTTTTATTTGAGGTCTTACAAAATTCTAGTTAATTTTAAATATTCCTTTTGATATCTCCCATTGCATATCAGCTAATATCATTTATCAGAGTCTCTTTAGGGTTTATTTATTTGAATTACTGTCTTATCTTCCAAACTTTATCACTACTTATTTGAGCTCAGGGATCATACCTATTTACTTTTACTTCATGAAAATGCCAAATACAAAATTTTCATGTAGTAAATGATCAAAATAGTCAGCTTAACTACTACTGAACACATCTAAATTGTGATAACATTTTGAAAATGACTAAAATTTACATAATAGCATGATATTTACAAAGGACATAATCAAGTTAATACAGGCATACAATAATTTATGGACTTAAGAATCAGTGATTTTAAAAATTCAAATTCATATTTCTAACCATTTTGAATTACAAAATTAAAAAAGTCATAAGAGCTCCAAAAGCAAAATGAGAGTTTTGTAAACGTTTCTTATTATGAACAATATTTAAATTAAAAACAATTTTAACTATCATGTAAAAGATTTCCAGATAGGCAGTCCAGCAAATGCTATTCTATGAGGAATAATCTAGGCAAACATGCAGCCATGGTGTTTAAAGGTGTGTCAATCAAAAATTATGAAATGTAAAAAAAATCCAGAAACAACAAAAAATGGATGGAATAAGAATAAAGTTGACAGAAAGGTTGAAATTATCAGAGAAGGAATTTAAAATAATGATTTAGAACATGACTGATATGTTAAAAAATATATCATAAAAGGTGGATAGATGACTGAATCTATGAGGAATATCAAAAGAGATGGAAACTATAAAAATATTCAAATTTCAATGCTAGGAAAATAATACAAGATGAAGAATTAATTTAATGAGCTTATCAGTGGACTGGACATAGGAAAGAACCAATGAACTTGAAGATAAGCAAGTATAAATTAATCAAAAGGAAACACCTGGAGGTAAAAAGAGTAAGAAAACAGAAAAGAGCTTCTAAGACATATAGAATAATATCAAAGTTTCTAACTGACTTGCAACTGGAATCCCTAAAGTAAAAGGGAGAGATAATATGATAGGAGAAATATGTAAAGAGATAACGGACATGGATTTGACTAAATTGATGGAACTCTGTAGCAGTTTCAGGCAGTATACAAGCTATTTTGCTGTTTGGAGCATATATCTTAGAAGACTCTATGGTATTAAAGATATATGTAGTGGAAAATATGATGCATAGATTTTATAGTAGTGCCAGAGGAAGAATCATAGACTGAGGCTCTGGACCAAAACTAAAATATATGTAGCAGAGAATTATCCTGAAATTGAGAAATGGCTTCTGGCATGTCTGGGTAGTTGTAGAGATGAAACACCTGACCATGGGACATCAAGTATCCATGTGGACAGAACTGCCAATGCATTTGGCAAGACCAGTGGCAATCTACAGTAGGTAGTATATTGGGAATTGTGTATGAGTATGCCAGAGATCACAGATAGTTGCACTCCTAAGTTATGTACTTCTTTCGCAACAGAAGCTCATCCTAAGTTCATACTGTTTCTGTCTGGGCCCTCCCTGGTGGCCATCTGAAGGAAAAATAAAAAAAGTCTGAGGTTGGTTCATGGATGGGTTGACTTGGTATATGGGTATAAACTGGAAATGGATTGCTGCTTCCTTAAAGCCTTATTAAGAGGTTACCCAAGAAGGTAAAGCAAAAGGGACATCCTTCGGATGGGCAGATCTTCAGTCCCATGATGTGGTCATAATCTTTGGGTGGAAATAGCCTAAGAGAAGAATATGCATGGAGTTATAGGTAGTGGCAAATGACATGGCTGGACTGGAAGGCAAAATATAAGACTATCTGGGTCAGGGAAATATGAGAAAGAAGCATATATTGGACTGATAGGAGTGGGCATGAAGTGTGAAGTTCTCTGCAATGCATGTTAATGCAGAAGAGGCATTAAATAGCCATAAAGAAATAACTCAGCCAGTTAACATCTGTCCTTCTCTGGCATCAGCCACCACAATGGTGGTACAACAGGCATGAATAGAGTAGCTAGAGTGGCAAATATGGAGGCCTGTGCATGGACCCAATGTATGGGCTCCTCTGTCCCAAGAATTAGTTAGGTACTGCTTCCCTCAGATATCCAATCTTCCAGGAACAGAGACCATAGCCACTACACACTTAATGGTCAGCCTTTCTTGCTTCTCCTGCCAATAGATGTTTGGCCAGAATAACTACTCAAGGGCTTATGTAGTGTTGATCCATCAATATGAGAGCTCTCATAATATCTCACTGGACCAAGGAAGCCACTTTACAACAAAGCATAGTAGCAATCAGATAACGATAGATCTGTTGGTTTCATGATGTAGCACACCATCCAAAAACTACTAGGTGTAACTGAGGTGCCAGTTCGGAGATGAAAGCTTTTGGGGATGGAACACTAAATTATAGAATGCGGTATGCACTCTATATCAATAATCATTATATGATGCTTTGTTCCCAATAGGTATAATATATGGAATTGGGAACCAGGGGGTAAAAGTGAGTGAACCGATGTGCCATCCTTCTTTGTGAACAATTGGGAAATTTGTGCTTTGCATTCCTGAAAATATAGGTTCCAGGAATCTAGAGGCACTGATTACCAGGGGAGGGACCCTTGCGCTAGAGAATACCACTAGAATCCCTTTTTGAAATGTATGGTTGTTGTAGGCTCTTTGTGCTAAGAAACTATCAGTCAAGGAAAGAAGTTCCTTATTGTGATATGGACTGAAATGTTTGTGTTCCCCGCAAATTCACATGTTGAAATCCTAACCCCTAAAGTGATGATTAGGTCATAAGGGCAGAGCCCTCATCAATGGAATTAGTGCCCTTATAAAATAGGCCCAAGGGAACCTTCCACCATGTGAGGACATGGCTAGAAGGCACAATCTAAGTACCAGAAAATGACTTTCACTGGACATCAAATCTGCTGCCACCTTGATCTTGGACTTCTTATCCTCTAGACCTATAAGAAATAAATTTCTGTTATTTATAAGCTACCCAGTCTACGGGATTTTGTGATAGAAGCTCAAATGGACTAAGATACAAGGGTAAGTGATGCTGATAATGGGGAGGGGGGAAGTAGGACACTGTTATAAAGTAGGGACAAGGATAAAAATATGTGACATTAAGGTGATCTACTGAGCAGAGTCTTCATTGTCATTCATGAACAAACAAAAAAGTCATAGCCTTACTAGGAGATTAACTGTCAGGCATGAGTTTCTAGATTAATTCACCAGGTAATCCAGTAGGCCAGCATATTTTCTAGCCAAGGATGAGGGTAATATAATTTGCACAGGAGAGGAGGAAGAGAAGTATCAGATGCAGTACCAAGATCAACTTTGGTGACAGAAATTGGAGTTCTTCCCAGTAATCCCTGAAAGTGATCTTGTCTATTTACCCAGGAAGAGACAAATTATAATTTTGGGTATCTGTTTCCAGATTAGGTGTACTTATTTTAGAAAGCAGGTAGATCTGAGCAGCACAAAGGGTTGACTATAATAGATAAAGTAATGAGCATTCCAGGTCCCCATTCAGAACAGCAACACTCAATTCCACAAATAGAGGAGTTTCCTACCAAGTTCTAAGTGCAATTCTTCCCCAGGAATTGAATTTTGCTTGGCCAAAGGGGTCTGCCTTGCCCAAGTTTGGGCCTCCCCTCTGCTGTGCAATGAGTGAAGGCGACTCAGTATGGGTCAACTATGAAGGGGCCATCCCCACTTCATAGTTCCTGGAGGGATCAACTGAGGCTTCTGTTATAACTACATCTTAGCTCAACATCTTCCTTTCCCAGTCCTACTTCTCTTTCCCCTCGCAGGCATTGCTGTTGAAAGTAGTCACTGATAACTCACCTACATGTAAATTGCAGTCTCTTTCTTGGGAAGCCTAACCTATGAAAAAGTTTCCTGGAAATTAATCTTTTCCATAGGAATGCTTTTAAATTTTTTTGTCAAAAAACTTAGGAAAAAATGTTGAAAGTGTATGAAGTAGTTACTAGGAAAATGTATATCATTAATAAAAATATTGGCGGTATATATCAAATACTGGATTAAACCAGCATAGATTTAGCATTTGATTAACAATCATTTGCTAATATTTTCATTGTTTGGAAAGAATTTATTAGAATATTATATCTGTTTTCAGAAGCTCTCCAAGGAACTTTTACTGATGCTTTATTTTCCTGTCTATAAATATCCCAGGTTTGGACAGATGCTTTTAAAATTCATTACAGTAGTCCTTAGAGGTTTGGAAAAGGACAAGTATCAATAAATATTTGATGATGAAAATGATGATGATAATGATGTTCATTTAAATCTTATTTCTCCTTATATTTTCCTACCTCTTTTATGAAAAGAATGGGGGCAATTCTTCAATATCAGGCCACAATTAAATGAAGTCTTCTCTCTCTTAGACTTTGTTACCACAAGAATGCGGCCAGTTGTTAGAGGACTTCACAGTTTATTGTAAAAGTTATAAAAACAATTACTATGTCATTGTAAAAAATTTTAAAGAAGACATTCAAAATATCCTTCACAAAATTGCTAAGACAAGCAAAAACAATATTCTGATTCATATTAGTTACTCATTGTTTTTAGATCATTCTAAATGAGTGAGTCAAGAAAGGTATGTGAAATGAGGCGTGTGTTTAATTAGGCAACTATGTTGAGAGCTTTGGAAAGTGAGAAGTTGTTCAAGGTGAAGAGATGCAGAATATCTCTAAGTACAAACAGGCATATGAGGATTGATTAAAAATGAAAGATATTAGACAATAGAAGTAACAGTTTATAGATGAGTCGGACTTCTGTTCTAATTAATACATAATTACTTATTATTTGAGGGCCCTGTGTATTAACTCTGATTAACATGTTAAAATATTGTCAAAACTTATAAACTTCACACATTCATACGCATGTACATGGCTATAATTTATCAACTAACATTAATACTAATACAATCAGGAAATTTTATTTCAAACAAATGATTCTAATCCTTGCTAATATAATGCAGAAAATAGCTCATTATTTAAAGTACTGTTTAGTTCCTAGGTTCTGTTATGATTAAAATAAACACTGCATGATTCTATCTGTATGAGGTATCTAGTCACCAAACTTATAGACACAGATAGTAGAATGGTGGTTTCTAGAGGCTAGGAGTGGGAGAAAATGCGTAGTTGTTCAATGGCATAAAATTTCACTTATGCAAGATGAATAATTTCTAGAGATAAGCTATTAACTATAGTACCTATAGTTACCAATATAGTATTGTTCACTTTAGAGTATTAGGATAGGTTGCATGTTAAATATTCTTACCACAAAAAAGATAAATAAATAACACATACACACAAAAAAGAATATGAGAAAATTTTTGGAGGTGATGAATATGTTTGTTATCTTGATTTTGGTGACAGTATCATGGATATATGCATATGTCAAAATTAGTCAAGATGCACATATTAAATGTATGTAGTGTTTTTGGATATCCATTGTATCTCACGAAGCTACAAATGAAGTCTTATTAATCACATATACAATAATGATTTCTACCTCATAGGGCTAATGTGAGTATTAAATGTGTCTACACAAAGTTACTGCAATCTAAGTATTTCAAAGGACATTCTTTAGTTCAAAGGACATTCTTTAGAAATGATTGCTCTAAGCTTGTCTAAATGAGTGCCTCAAATATTCTTATGTGCATCATTGAGCTCCAACCATTAGACCCTGCCACATTCCCCATTCCAACTCATAAGAATGAGAATTGAGATCATTAGGACTAATTTTATGGCTTATTACATATAAACATTAATGCACACAACTCTGTTTCTGATTATGCATACCTTATTTCTTGTACTTCAATACCACAATACTATTTCACTTATATGTACATCACAATCTTTACATGGTAAAGTATTTCAGTAGGACTACACTGAATAGGATTGAAAACCAGCTTGCCATCAAAACAATTCTTTAAATGAATAATGATTTTGTGAAAACATTCGGTTTTAGGTAACCTGTGTGTAGCTAGGAAAACATTTTAATTATGCTTAAAATGTGAATTATAGGACAATTTTGCTTCAGATAAACAAGGCTGATAATCAGTGGGATGTACCGGCATGACTAGTGTAAAAATATTGAAATGTTAAGTAACTAGCCATTGGGTGTTGCTGTTGCTCACCCTTCTTAGCAGCCCCAACATTTCTTCTGTGACTATGCAGACTTCATGAGCTATCAAGTGAGGCATAGAAACATGAGGTTATACATAGGTCAAAACAATCATTACATAATTTTATTATTACCTCTGAAGATACATATAACAACAAAAATGTGTCTCATATCAGTGAGCTCATGTGTAAATTTTTTGAATCAAAGTAGCTTGTAATTTTTTGTATTTTGTAACAATTAGAAATGAATGAGTCAGGCTTTAATTGCCATTATTAGTTAAAATTATATTTCCACATAAGGAAAGTACATGATAAGCACTGAAATCTTTCTTTTATAATTAAAAAAATGTAAGATTGAATGGCCTAAAATTATGTTATTAGAAGATGACAAATGGAATCACTTTTACAGAATCCTGGGGCTTTGAACAAAATTTGTGACATTTTACAATGTATGTTTCTCTTATTTCTGACAACTCTACCAAGTAACTGGAGATCAATGAAAAATTCTAATTTTAATTCTTCATTTGAATGGGCCCCAAACCAGGGCCTTGATGAAATTTAAGGATTTTGTTTATCCTCTCCAGGTTAGGCACAGACACATTCTGACATAAAGACTGATTTAGGTCCAATGAGTCAATCGAATGCATTCAAGAGAAACCCTTTGGGAAAACAAAGCAGACCCAGCAGTCACTAAGATCAAGCTGTGAGCCAGAACACTCAGAGTGGAAAATAAATGTTCTTTATCGGAACCAAAAAGCGATCTGAAACTTACAAAATTTTGGAGGTATTCTTTAATTTAAAAAAAGCTCATGATTACAAATATAAAATAAGGCACAATATGTTAGCACAACCCCTTCTGTGTAAAGAGGTTAAAGTTTAAACATATTAGCTTCATAGTAAATTCATTTCTAGTTGCTACTATTTTTAATACAGAGCTGCATGAAAAAATGGAAAAAATTGAAATTAATATAATGTCTACTGTTCTCCATATGGCTAATTCCATAGTTTACTTAAGTAGGAAGCACACTTTAAAGACTAAGTCAATTTTGTCATAGAAGTAAAAATCCATAATTAAAAAATCCAGTGACCTAGTTAATTTGAGATTTAATTTTCCAAAATTAAGAAAACATCTTATTGGAGGTGCTTGCTTTAATCCTTAAATCAATAGCATAACATTTTATTTATTCAAAGTTATAGGCAAAGGCAATGGCTTATAAGCTGCACCTAATTCATAGTTTGATAAAAGAGTATTGTTTCTAGAGTGGCATTTTAAAAATACTAAGTCTCTATAATGTTTAATTTTAAAGACCAGGTGAAATAAAATGTTAAGTGATAATCACAGGACTTTCTATGTTGTATGTTTTGATTAACAAACACAATTCTTAGTTGTTAATTTGATTTATGCATAAACCAACCTGTTAAGTTGATGTTAACCACAGGAAATAGATAAGGCTAACTGATGGTTGTACTATTGAGAGACAGTCCAATATCAAATAATAGCAAAAATAAGCTTTGAAGTAACATCTTCTGATTTAAAATGAGTGGCCCAATGTGTGTTATGCAGAAATAAAAGGAGTTTAAAGATGTAAAGTTATAGTTTTGTACTAGTAAATGTTTAACTGGCTCTTGGAAGAAAAAAAATCAGGAAGCAAGGGCTTATTTATAACATAGTTTAATTCCCCTGATGCAGTACTCCCATCTTTTTTATTTCAATGTCCTGAAATTATGTCTACAAACCAACAAAGTTTATAAAAATTAATATTCAGCTCTCATGAGCACTATTAGCTTTCTCCATCACACCACTGGAAAGGTACTTTCCTAAGTATTAATTTGGGGTTGAGCAGAGTGTTAGAGAACTAGAAACATGTGCATAATAAGGATGAGGAGAGGCAATAGAGATTGTTGTTGAGGGAGCTGTTGAAATGATAGAAGAAAGTATGTGGTGTGTGTCTGCATATGTGTGTGTAGCAGACAATTCCTCACAATGTTATAGACTAACACAGTCACTAATTAGCATAATGTGGCTGAGAATTTAAAAAAAACTTGTGGCAATATTTTAATACCAAGATGACAATACAATTATTTCATTATCAACACTCACTGAATCTTATGTACTAGGTAAGCACTGGTGATAAAAGCATGACACCAGACTTAGGTACCAGTTGTGTCCTTATTTTACATAGCAAACATAGCCACAGGATAATATACAACCTCTTGAAGATCAGGCTGTTGTAAACTGGGTTAATAGATCTGGGTTTCAACACATAGAGTCAATTATGAGAATATTCACTGCTAAACATTTGAATCAACTGTGTACATATTATAACAAATTTAAACTTTATTCTATAAAAATAGAATGAAACAACATTGAAAACTATGTGCCAAGGCTCGAGACAATGAGTGCAGTAACGTGGTAGTATTATCAGTTCAGTTGTGAATCAGTAAGACCTAAATTAAGATGATGATATTAGCAATAAAAATAAACGATGTATAAAAGACATCTCTACTTCTTTTGGGCTAATGGTCAAATGCCTCCCTTTCCTCCATTTTTATTGTAAAAACATATTAAAATGTTTTAAGTTGAGTAAATACAAGCAAATGAAAATAATCGCTCAAATCTCATAATCGTAATTTTTATATATTACTTATGTTTTAATTTTTTCCACATGCCTCCATACATACATACATTGGCACTTTCTCAATGTAAAAAATAATTACTTAAACAATTATAACATGTCATGTTTTTTTTCATTTGGTGACATGGTCTTCAGTCATATCATTTTAATGATTGCAAAATATATACATTCTTCTATGAGGAATACATATCATGAATATATTATGATTTATTTTATATATATATATACACACTATAAATATATGGCAATGTATTCTTCCATGAATAATATATACAGTAATCTAATTTCAAAATAATGGTTATTTCAACATTTCACCAATAAAAATAACTAATGAAGATCTTTATGCATACACACACATATATTTTTGGGGGTTATCTCTGTAGACAATTTATGCAGGGAAATATTTTTCTAGGCAAAATTTTCATGTCAAATGAGTATTTTAGCTCACTACTGTTTACCTCACTAGCAGGCAGTAACATGCATATTAAAATAGTGAAGCATAATTTTACCAAAATTTTTTTCATAAAAAAGATAAAAATTTTCTATTGAAAATAGCAATATCCAGTAGCGATGAACATGCAGTCAAATGAGCACATGGTTACAATCTCGATTGGTCTGCAATTTGTGAAAACTTGCCAAAATGTAGAAAACGGCATAATTTAGAGAGCAATTTTAGTGAAATGCTGTAAATAATCTCTTCAAATGTGATAAAAGACAAATATAATAAAAATTTCACACATTTCTGTGAAATTCCACTTTTGAAATGTGCCTAGGAAGATGATTATTTCAGTGGTTTGAAAAAAGTGAGACATTGGAAAATATATAAATGTATAAACTAGAGACACATTAATTATAGTATAGCCTCATGATGAAAAGTTTGACAGTTATTATAAAAATGCTGTGGAAATTTAATGAATGGCATGGGGGATTTCCAGAATATACTGTTACTAAATAAGAATTCATGTGATCAAATCCTATGAACTGCATAAAACTAATAATAAATCCATCTTTAATAGGTTATAGCAATAAAAAATTGTTATTGTTCACTTTTTGTGGTAGGCATTTTGTAATCTTTACTTTTTATGTTTTATCTGCAATTTCCATTTTTTATCTTGTACATGTATTGTTTTTAATGAGAAAATTATGTTTTAATGGGTTAGACTCTAGATGCTTAAAAAGCACTTGATATTTGACATCTCTTCATAATAAAAATCCTCAATAAGCTAGGCATAGAAGAAACACACTTCAGCAAAATAAAGGTCATATATGACAAAGCCATAGCTAACAACATACGAAAGGGGGGAAAATTGAAATCTTTTCCCCTAAGAACTGAAACAAGATGAGAATGTCCACTTTCACCACTTCTATTCAAAATAGTACTGACAGTTCTGGTCAGAGCAATTTGGTAAGAGAAAGAAATAAAAAACATCAAAATGAAAAAAGAGTAAGTCAAATTGTCCCATTGTCCCTGTTTTCAGATGACATATATATATAATGATATGTATATGATAGATATATGATATATATGATATATGATATGTATATGATAGATATATGATATATATGATATATGATATGTATATGATATATATATATATAGGATATATATATATATGTATATCCTAAAGAGTCCACCAAAAAACTTTTGGAATCAACATATGAGTTTAGTATACTGCAGGATACAAAATCAACTTACCAAAAATCAGTGGCATTTCTATATGCTAATAGCAAACTATCTGAAAAAGAATAGACATTGAAGACTAGGAAGGGTGGGAGAGTGAGAGGAGATTGAGTGATAAGAAATTATGCAATGAGAACAATATACACCATTCAAGTGATGACTACACTAAAAGTCTAGACTTCACCACCTTGCAATATATGCATATAACAAAACTGCACTTATATCTCTTAAATTTATACAAACTTTAAAAAAACGAATATTTTTGTGTGCTTTATATATAACCAATTTGTTTTAAAATAATCACAGTGATTCTTACAGTAATGTTACTATTTCTGCTTCTTTTGTTCAAACACATTGATGTATTATTGCTTAGTCTTTTATTTTTAGTGTTTCTGTGCCATTTAGTTTTACATGTATTTCATAAATATAGCATAGTTTGGGATTTGACTGTGAATCTGTTCCCCTTTCTCATCCACTTTCTTTTTAAAATAACATTTAAACTGATGAGCCTAAAGATTGAGAACTGACTTATCAGATCAAGAAAATAAGATATATTTGCCAAACTTAATGCTGATGTACATTTTTACATTAATTCTTTGTGTCTGAAGATCCAGGACCAGAAGTTTCTAAGGCCAGCATTTCAAGTGGTATCTGGTTCTCTATCTATTCTTTTGCCTAGGGATGCTGGTTAAATGAGAGTAAAACAGTGCACACAGCATTTGCAGGCTTGCTGATCTGATTGAAATTTCTGTCATTAAACATTTTCATTTGGAAATTTAATGTTTTGTTAGACTAAATGATATGTAACAATATGGCTATAATATAGTGAGTCTTCCTCTCTTTCTGTTTCTCTACACACACACACACACACACACACACGCATGCACGCACACACAGAGCTGTTATTTGATAATGCATAACAAATTACTGCTTATGTGATTTTATTTCATTAAATAAATGCTATCAGAATTGGTAGACATTATCTTTCCATAAATTTCCTGTGGAGTTGTAGAACTGAAATTCATTCACTTTGTTTCCTTATGCTCCACTTACAACATTTTTGTTTAATGCCTGACTTGGTTAGTGTTGACTCAATACCTATGATACAATTTTTTGCATTTTAAATATGAGCCCTAAGCAACTAGGAGGAGCTGCAGCTCCATGGTAAATTGTAATCTGTATTGGGAGTTCAATATTAAGAAACAGTTTAGAAAAATATGTGACATATAGAATTTAAGGTGCAGGCTTAATTTTACCTACTTCTCAAGTCTTACCAATTATATATTTTATTCATAACAGAAATTCTGTCATTATTCTTGATGATTAACATCTTGTAATTAAAAACATTTTGCTATACTTTTGAGATCTGCCCTTATTTCTGCTGCATTGATCCAAAGCAATCATACTGAATTAATTTTTGCTTGAGCAGTTCACTATAAATACAATGAAAATCGATCACTTCATTTTGAAAAGCTAGATTGGATACATAAATTTCATTAGTCATTAGATAATTATCAATTCCACATATAATTTTTATAGATCCTACCAGTTACATAATAATTTTATTAAAAATTTACTATAACAAAAATACCCAAAATTTCATTACATGGTCTTTCAGATTTTGTGTACTGTGACTCTAATACATTTTACTTCTATATAACAGTGTTCCTTTATAGTACAAATTTACAGGGAAAATAAGCTTATTAAAAAGTTGCCGGCAGTAAGACACTGATACAAAATAGTTTTTAACATAGAGAGTTGTATTTAATTTGTTTAAAAGTTTAGACTAGGAGGCAAGTTTTCCCTTTTTTTCTCCTAATATGTACTGTCTTAGCCTGTTTGTATTGCTATAATTATATACTTGAGCCTAGTTGATTTTTACATAAAGTAAATTTATTTATCCCAATTATGGAGGCTATAAAGCCCAAGATCAAGGTGCTGACAGGTTTGGTGCCTGGTAAATGCTGCTCTGTTTTCAAGACGATGCCTTGTTGCTGGATCCTAGAGGGGAGGAACCCTGTGTTCTCACATAATAGAAGGGATGGAAGGACAAATAGGAAGGGTCTACCTTCCAGCCTTTTCATAAGGCACTAATCCATTCATGAGGGAAGAGCCCTCATGATTTAATCACTTCCCCCCAAATCCCCACCTCTTAATATCACCAAAATGGAGATTAAGTTTTAACACATGAATTTTGGGGGACATTCAGACTATAGCATATGCATATGGACATATGCATACATGTAAGATCATTCTAAGTAGGGCACTTTAATTTTACTCACGTGATGTGTAGCACTACATAGTTGTGGTTATGAACTCAAATATGGAGTCAAATAAACCTGATTAAGAACTTTGCTTTTGCTACTTATTAGTTCAGGTGAACTTAATTTTGCTACAACACATCCGTAAAGCAGTCATAATATCTACTTTACATATTATTGCTATAAGATTATCATGGTGTTTAAAATGGTCACATACTATTATTATTATCTAGGAATGGGGTAAGTAAAGATAACTGGTGCCTCAATTTGTAACATGTGCAATAAAATTAATCCATAAAAAGTGAAATAATAAAAATGTAACTTGCAGTCTATGATTTCTGAGTGCTCTGCAGTTCTAATAGAGGATGTTATGAAAATCAATAATAAAAGATAGGATTTGAGAATTTCTTCTTCTCTACATTTGAATTAATGGGTTGATTCCCAGCTAACAGGCCAAGTGATGGGAGAACATTTTAGATTCCTTCATATCCACATGTTTTCAAATTCCAAGGGAAAGATGGCAGAGGACTTCGAAACTAATGGATAGCCCTTAAATTTATGATTCATTTGTTGTGGATAACACTGAACCCTCATTGCTCGTTGAGAACTAAAGGTAAATCCATGGGGTATAGAATCATAAAGCCACTGGTATCAAATATTTTACTATAAGAAAAAAGAATGTAGATGGTAACAAGTGTTAACTGATTGCTTAAATGATTTCTTTTTTATAATTGACCTTACCCCATTAAATATGATCTTTATCACTAGAATGTAAAACTGTGTTGTCCAATACTACAGTTTTCAGCACACACATACTTAAATTTAATTAAAAGTAAATTGAATGCAAAATTCAGTTATTTAGTCAGACTAGCCATTTCAAATGCTAAATAGACAAAGAACTACACAGCACACAGCAGAATATACCCATCATAACAGAAAGTTGTATTAGACAGCATTGATTAAGACCATTGCTCTTCAAACTTTATTTTTTTCTTATTGCCCCTGTACAAAGCTTTTTAAATATTTTTTTCTAATCACTCTTCATCATCAAATTTTACAGCCAAAGATACATGTTTTATGTACCTGTGTCTAATACATAAAAATAGTAAGATCCCAGAAACCTTTTGAGAATGCATGATGTAGACCTATAGAAAGAGAAAAGAATCAGTCCATAGATAAACACTATGAAAGGCAGAACAACACTTAATCATGTGTTCATGTTCAAAACATCTATGAACCACTTATTAAATTTTACCTTCCTAAATATGCAAATAAATGTAATTACAATAAATGTTAAGGTAAATTTAAGAGAATATTTAACTCTATTACTGTATTATTTTATTAATATGCAAGTGAAATTACCATGAAATATTTTTCATGCCAAATATAAAATAAGAAGATTAGATCTGTGTTATTTATATTTCTACCATCTTCTTGTGAATATCTCAGGTGCCAGGAAATGTAGTTGATGCTGGGAAGGCTAAAGGAGATAGAATAGTTCTTGGTCAACAAATTTTAAAAGGCTGATGTAAAGATAATGTAAGTATCTAAATTTCCCAATCCGAAATCCAGAACATTGTCTACTAAATTATATTGCTTTGATACATCAACAGGAAGTGATATGCTGGGTCCAGTTAACACTCACTCTCAATGGCCAACTGTAAAATGTTCAAAGGTTTTGGGAGACAATTGGCACTATCACATTGGTAGTTTAATATCAGCTATAGTCAAAATATGTGCACCTTGGACATGAGAAAGAAAACTGTGAATCAGGGATTTTAGTTTGCTGTCAGATAAATGATTGCTAATCATTCGCCAACACATCACTGTCAAACACCTTTTACAAAAGAACAAGATTAACTTCTCATACCCAATTATCCTAATTCCACAGTCCTTTATTAAAACCATGGAAATCAAGCAAGTGATGGAAATGTCAATAAGCCCAATTTCTTCATAAATTCCAGGATTAGATGGCTTTGTCTACTAGAAAACCTGCTGAAAACTCACCTTAAGTGAGATTTTAATGATGTTTGGCACCAAATATCATCAGTGTTTGCACTATCTGTTACTCTCTATCAGTAAAACTAACATACAGGGCATTAATGCTAATAGTGTTGGTTTTACAATTAACAGTGAACTACACGAAGATAAATTTGTCAGGAGCGCAGAATTTACATAAGGTCTGGAACAACTTTTCCTGGTCTGGGCCAGCAAAGTGACAGAAAAACAAAAGAGATTGATCTGGTATGCCATTATTTTCTTTTTTCTGCTAAACCAAATTTCCAATAAGGTTACTGCTGATAATACTGGTTGATATGGTTTGTCTGTGAGTCCCCACCCGAATCTCATCTTGAATTGTACTCCCATAATTCCGTGTTGTGGGAGGTACCAGTAGAGTGGGGCACTGCTGAAAAGATACCCAAAATTGTGGAAGCGACTTTGGAACTGACTTTCAGGCAGAGGTTGGAACAATTTGGAGAGCTCAGGAGAAGACAGAAAAATGTGGGAAAGTTTGGAATCTTCTAGAGACTTGTTGAATGGCTTTGACAAAAATGGTGATAGCAATATGAATGCTAAGGTCCAGGCTGAGGTGGTCTCGGATGGAGATGAGGAACTTGTTGGCAACTGGAGCAAAGGTGACTCTTGCTACATTTTAGCAAAGAGACTGGTGGTACTTTGGACCTGCCCTAGAGATTTGTGGAACTTTGAACTTGAGAGAGATGATTAAGAGTATCTGATGGAAGAAAATTCTAAGCAGCAAAGCGTTCAAGCAGTGACTTGGGTGCTGTTAAAAGCACTCTGTTTTAAAAGGGAAACAGTGCATAAAAGTTCAGGAAATTTGCAGCCTGATGATGCAGAGAGAAAACCCCATTTTTTGAGGAGAAATTCAAGCTGGCTGCAAAAAATTTGCATAAGTAACAAGGAGCAGAATGTTAGTCCCCAAGACAATGGGGAAATTGTCTCCAGGGCATGTCATAGGTCTCATGGCCACCCCTCTCATCACAGACCCAGAATGCTAGAAGGAAAAAATGGTTTCATGGGCTGGGCCCAGGGTCTCCATGCTGTGTGAAGCCTAGGGACTTGGTACCCTCTGTTCCATCTGGTCCAGCAGATGTATGGAAATGCCTGGATGCCCAGGGAAAAGCTTGTTGCAGTGACAGCGCCCTCAGAGAGAACCTCTGCTAGGGCATTGTGGGAGGGAAATGTGGGGTTGGACCCCCCACACAGAACCCATACTGCGGCACCACCTAGTAGAGCTGTGAGAAGAGGGCCACTGTCCTCCAGACCCCAGAATGGTAGATCCACTGACAGCTTGCACAGTAGACCTGGAAAAGCCTCAGACACTCAATGCCAGCCTGTGAAAGCAGCCCGGAGGTGGGCTATACCCTGAAAAGCCACAGGGGCAGAACTGCCCAAGACTAAGGGAACCTATCTCTTGCATCCACATGACCTGGATGTGAGACATGGAGTCAAAGGAGATTATTTTGTAGCTTTAGAATTTTACTGCCCCGCTGGATTTTGGACATGCATGGTCCATATAACTCCTTTGCTTTGGCCAATTTCTCCCATTTGGAATAGCTGTCTTTACCCAATGCCTGTAACCTCATTGTATCTAGGAAGTAACTAGCTTCCTATTGATTTTACAGACTCATAGGCAGAAGGGACTTGCCTTGTTTCAGATGAGACTTTGGACTGTGGACTTCTGGGTTAATGCTGAAATGAGTTAAGACTTTGGGAGACTGTTGGGAAGGCATGATTGATTTTGAAATGTGAGGACATGAGATTTGGAGGGGCCCAGGGTGGAATGATATGGTTTGGCTATGTGTCCCCACCCAAATCTCATCTTGAATTGAATTCCCATAATTCCACGTGTTGTGGGAGGGACCCGGTGGGAGATAATTGAATCATGGGGATGGTTTCTGCCATACTATTCTTGTGGTAGTGAATACATCTCACAAGATTTGATGGTTTTCTCAGGGGTTTCTGCTTTTTCATCTTTCTCATTTTCTCTTGCTGCTGCCATGTAAGAGGTGCCTTTCACCTCCCACCATGATTCTGAGGCCTTCCCAACCATGTGGAACTGTAAGTCCAATTAAACCTCTCTTTCTTCCAAGTCGCTGGTATGTCTTTATCAGCAGCATGAAAATGGACTAATACACTGGTATTACTTCATCTCTCCATATTAAGTGAGTATTTTAGATTAGTATAAAGCAATTTTGTGTATATCGTCGTTCTTAAATTTCTTTTTTTCTCAAAATAGCCTTTCTCACCCAGCACTATGATAAATGAGTGAGACTAAAACCATGTAATTTAGAGTTTTTATGCTGTTGGGTTTTTTTTTTTTTGAGTAGAAGCATAGTTTCAGTGCTTGATACTCAATAATGAATTCTTTCTCAAAATATTTTCCAAATATACCAATCATGAGATATTGCTTCCAGAAACATTTTTCTGGTAATATTATATTTTAAAGATTTTCTGAGCAAGTAAATCTGTCTCTTATCCATGGGTAACATCTTTCTTCAATATTTAAATTTTTGTAGACCCTTCTTTCACCTACTAGTTCTAAGTGAATTATAAGGTTTCTTGGTTTTCTCCTGATGATACCAAGCTTTTTGAAACCCTCTTTAGGGGAAGCTGATACTTATTTCATTTGGACAAACTCAAATTAATAGTGGAAATGGATGAGTAGAGTTCCTGTTCCAACTTTGGACTTTTATACTAACAAAATCATTTAACATTATTTTCACTTTGGAAATTAATGCATTCAAATATATTTCCTTCTCTCAACTTTATTTCATGGTAATTTCAAAAACCATTATTTTGCTGTGATGTTCAGATCAAAGTTTCAGCCTCATCCACCTCAATTAATTTTTAGATGACTGATATTATAGCCATCTACTCATTAGCTATTAGACACAGACACATACCCTATGCAACTCAGCATTGTAAATTGTTCTTTATAAAACACCTAATCAAATAAATTTTAGTGTGGTGGCTCACACCTATAATCCCAGCACTTTGGGAGGCAGAGGCGGGAGGATTGCCTGAGCCCATGAGTTGGAGACCAGCCTGGGCAATATAGTAAGACCTGGTCCCTATAAAACAAATTTAAAAATTAGACGATTATGGTGGTATGCACCTGTGGTTCCAGCTACTCAGGAAGCTGAGGTGTGAGGATCATTTGAGCCTGGGAGGCAAAGGTTGTAATGAGCCAACATAGTGCCACTACACTCCTGCCTGGGTGACAGAGAAAGTGCTTATCTAAAAAAAAAATTAAAAATAAAATTTAAAATATATAATTAGAATCCATTCTTGGCTCTTCCCCTTTGTGTATCCTAAACATACTAAGTTTCCTTGATTCTAATATACACATCTTGGTCTTAGAATCTTTATTCATCTTCCATGGTGCATAAAATAATGGTGAATCCTATCATTGATAGCACATTAGATTTGTTGAAATATAATTGATTTTATTCAAGTTTCTTCCAACAAAAAATAATCTCTCTCTCTCTCTCTCTCTGTCATTTTAGCCTACTCCTAGGCCTTTTCTCTCTCCCTGTTTTGCTCCCAACTTCGGGAATTTCTTGACTCCACATCCTGTCTATACAGGTAACTCACGAAAATTCATTTGAAGTCATTTCTTTCTTCTAAGCGTCAGATCCTCTTTTTGATGACTTACTTGAAATCCCATATGATTTTATTACTTTTAAGTTTAAAATTAAGTTTTTCTCCATCATTCCTTCTAACAAACATCTCATTCTCCTGACTCAAAAAGTAAAATTCTCTCTTCCTTTTCTAAACTTTCCTCCCTATGTAAATTACCCAGGCTCAAAATTGTAGAGGTAAATTCAATTTCTAATACTTTTATAAGTCTGCTGCTTTAACTAACTTTTTTCCTTTCTGTTTTCACTGGCATAGGTCCAGACCAGGCCTTCATTTTTATTTAAAATCATCTAAGAAACTCTTCTTTTGTTTTCTTCAACTTAACATATGTTTCCAAATTTTTCAAATCAATCATCTTATAGAGGCAGTTCCTGTAAATCGATTTCCTTGCTCAGAGACTTTCAATAACTCTCTGTTTATCCAAAGTAAAGTAGAATCCACATTTCTTATTTCTGATTAATACTGGAAAAGTAAGTCAAAACTTGTCCTACCAATAATGGGCTTTGTGGAAGGAAAACATAAAACAAAATAATTATGTCAAGCCTTTCATTAAAACATTGCAATGTGAAAGAACAGCTTTAAAATGTGTGTTCTGCAGGGAGAATACAGATTGGTGAAGGTCAATCATAGTTCTGGTTATTCCTAGAATTGAATACTGTTCACGTTCTCAAGACTAATGGGAAACTGAGGCTCTATTAGTTACATAATAGAAATAAGAGGCAGCCAGATTGAGGTTGCACATTAGTAGCTTTTGGTTAGATAATTTGAGTTTAGAAAGAGGGGTGGAGAAAAACAAATGGGATCTAAATTATCTCAAGTATAAGAAGAAAAAATTTAGTTTTATTGGAGCTGTGATAGTTTGAAATCATAGTTGATATAGAATAGACAATATAATATTATTCTCAAAAGACATACAAAGCCATTTCTTAGCTTTACTTTCAGCTATCTGTTATATATTCTCAAAGCAATTGTTAATTAACATTTCAGTGAGAATAATTTTCCCAATATAAAATCTCATTGATTTTAATATTAAGGTAAATACATTATATTAAGAATTGCTTGATGTGGTAATGCAGTGAATTTAGGGGAAGTATTTCATTATCTATATGCAACTATTATGAAATAAATTATTGTTTTTTATTAGTTTACTCAAAAAGTAAAATAAGGCCACATAATTAATCATTGCATGTGTTCACTTGACTGGACCTCAGGGTGTTTAAATACCTGGTTAACAACTATTTCTGGGTGTGTATGTGAAGGTGTTTCCAGGTGAGACTATCATTCAAATCTGTAAACTGAGTAAAGCATATTATCCTCCCCAGTGTGAATGAATGCCCATCATCCAATATATTGAAAGCCTGAACAGAACAAAAAGGCAAAGTGAATTCTACCTGCCTGTCTGAAAGCTGGAACATTGATTTTCTCCTGCCTTGAGACTTGGACTTGGATTGCAACTTATGCCACTGGCTGTTCTGGTCTAGGCTTCTCATCCTCTGTAATTGCAGGAGATAATTCCTTGCAATACAAAATTCCCCTCTCTCTCTTCTCTCTCCTGCCATTCTCTCCATCTCTGTGTGTATGTATATGTATATTATGTGTGTGTGTGTGTGTGTATCCTATTGGTTCTATTTCTCTGAAGAACGCTAATACAGATTAAATGTTAATGCCAATCAAAAATGATTTACAAAAATCCTAGTGAATATAGTTACTACACTTAAATGACTATAATGGTAAGCAAATATTCTCTTAAGTAGTTAATAATAATTATTTTATATCTCATATCCTCATCTTTAATTATCTTTTCAGCAGCACAGTTTAGAAAAGTCTGAGTAATCTATGAATTCTTACATGCTATATCCAATTTTCCTAAAATAATGTCTTGTAAGTCCATCTCCGTTTCCCTGGCAACTGCCTGAGCTCACCATTTCACTACAACCCAACAGTGTTTTTAAAAGACTCATCATGTCAGCAATATCCTTTTTGGATTTACACTAACCCCTACCATGTCTATTTATTTTCTAAAACAAACAAACAAAAAAACCATACTTTTTTTGCCAAAGAAATTCCAGTTATTTTCCCTTTTCCCAGGGGAAAAATGAATCTTCATCACAGACAAAACCCTTTGATTCTTGTTTACCTTCTTACCCTCACTGTGAACAATTTGTAGAGTGGAACCCTAATTACATCTATCAATGCTGATTGGAAATGCCACACTTGAAATATTTTGGGCGCTTCCTTCCTACCTTCTCCAATTGTGACAATGTATTTTCCTTTGAATCTGAATATGTGTGCCATTCTGTTTTTGCATATTTTCCTAATACAGTAGTATAGATAGTTTATTTGTCTATAAATATGTTCTTATAGCTACCACATTGGGTCGAATTATTTATGTATAAGATTCTGAGCTCATTACAACCCTCTGTCTACTGCCCCAGTTCCTGAACACATGCTGATCTCTTTCTCTTTAATACATGTGGAGAAAATGATTTTGATTACGACAGCTTTCAATAGATAATTGAGTGATTGGCTCATGTAACTTTTCCTCTTTCCTTCACATTTTTTCTTTTATTTTTTCAGTCTTTAAGAATAATATTATGTTTTTTTATAATTTCTAATAACAAGATTATGCTTTGATCATTTAAAAATCAAATGTTTATATATATTTCAATGGTTCCTCTTGAATTGCAGAATAGGTAAACAGCAATCATGCAGAAATTTGAAAAAATGCATATGAGTTAAGACTGCTTTTATAGTAAAGCTAGTGAAAAGCAAGAGGCACTTCTGGGGAAGTTTTCAGTTAACTGCATTGCTAGGAGATTGAACAGAGAGACTGATAACGAATGCGTGATGTTTTCAAACAATCAACTCACACAGGAGACAAAATTATGACATATAGTTTGTTTCCAATGAGAATGGGAGGGGCAGTATAGCAGATCAGGTGGATGAGCTGAAGGATAAATGTCTTAGTTGTACTGAACAAGCGAATGCAGCTGGTGTAAATAGCGTGGTCTGAGTAATAGTACACAGAACAAGTATAGGAGAGAATGATAAATTTAGAGATTGCCACCATGGATCAGAATATGAGTCCATCTAATGTTAAATTCTTCCTATGGCAATAACTAATATTTAGTGTTCCAAAGGAAGATGAAAACTCAACAGACTGTGCCTAGGCAATTTATTCAATGTTATTTATCAGATGAGAAATTTCTGTTATCAGTCCCATATAAAATCTTTGAACAACTTGAATTATGCAGTTTGAATACCCTAATATTTTTATGCTGGCAGAACTGCAAATCATATTGATGAGCATAAAGGTAGTGAAGCTTTTAAAATAATCCCTAAATAATCCCTCCACACTATTCTATTTTCATTTACCATCAAAAAACAATGGTTATTCACATCTAGTGCAATATATATACAATTTGAATGCATTTTGACATCAAGCTTGGGTCACAATACATTTAAAAACATGTTAAAGAGAAAATGTATTAGCATTCATGTAGCCAATACAATACTAGCCTGCTTTACAGAATGTTCATGTTTACTGACTTTATATTTTTATATTTATAATTTAATTAATATAATTTTTAAAATCTCTGAGATTCTTAGAAATATCCAGTTGGTTATATAAGACAATTCTACTAAAATAAATAAAAGTAGGTTTTATTAGAATTATAGTCAGAGGTAATGGAGTGAAAAAAATATTTGAAACTAGAAATGTCTTGGGCTTTAGTCTTTCTGTTGTCACATTTTAGATCAAAAATATTTGGGGAGTCACTTATCCTTCAGTAGATTTCTATTTCTGCATATTTAAGCAGACTTAGCAGCTTAAACACCATCAGTTTATTAGCTCACAGTTTTATATATTAGAAATATAAGTGGGCTTGACTCTTTTTCTCCTTAGGGTCTTACCAGACTAAAATTAGTTGTTGGCCAGACAGATCTTTTCTGGAGGCTCTGGGGAGGAATTTTTTATAAGCTCATTCAAGTTGTGCTTAGAATCCAGTTCCTTACAGGTAGATTGAACATGCACATTTCCTTGTTGAGTGTTAATCACAGGCCACCCTTTGTTGCTAGAGGCAACCTGTGTACCTTCTCATGTAGTGCCCCCCATCTTTAATATCACCAAAGAAAGACTTCCCCTTATGTTCACCAGCTGGACAAAATTTTCTACTAAAAAAAGAAAGGTATGTGATTAGATTAGGCCCAGCCATAGGAGCCCCTTTTTTATATAATAATTTAATATAATCATGGGAGTTATATCTCATCATATTAGTAGGTTTCACTCACACTCACAGGGAGAAGATTACAGGAAGGCAGTATTTATGGAAGTCATTCCTACAATTTTGCTTATTACAGGAGCCGATATTTTATCTGAAAAAATTGAGATTAATTATATCTTCCATGAACAATTGTTGGTAGTAGTAGAAGAGCTAATGTTTAGACTCACTTGCCACATCATAAACAGCGAAATTACTAATTGTTCTGATAAACATTTGACCCTCATGGATGCATATTTTATTTATAAACAAGAATGTATGTTAGCACATTCTTTCTATATTAACTATAAATCTATCTCCTTATAATTTCCCCCAGCCTTTGAAGTCAAACAGATAATATGTAATCTCTCATCCATGTTTATTCACTCTGTGGCATTGGTCCAGCATTTGTAGAAACTCCATTTCATGTAAGGCACTCAGTGCTGGGGATCAGTGAACAAAAATACATGACCCCCATAATCTCAGAGGGTCCTCCCTGAAGAAGTAACTTGAAATGAGATATGGTAGAAGTTAATTAGGTGAATAGGGAAAGAATGAGCCTTTCAGAAATAAGCATAGGCATATTAGAAAGGGAAATAAGACAGCAGGAGGAATTAAACAGCTAGAAGACTGAAAATTATTCAAAAAGTGTTACAGTATTAGATAGAAAAGGTAGGCAGAACTTGTTACAGGTAGCTGAGAGGGAGAAAAGACAGTAATTGAAAGCCACTAAAGTTTTTTAAAAGTTTTTTAAGCATGAAGGTAACATAATAGACATTAATTGTGAGAATAAAATTATTCTATTTACTATGCAGATGAAGGTAAATTAGTTCAAAAGTAATTAAGAAGACCGATCAGATAGAATATTAGACTAGTTTTGTGGTAATAGAGATAGACATGATTTATTTTGAAATAGCTAGATGACAACCAACATAATTTTATTGTAAATTTAATATAGTAGGGAAGATGCAAGGGATATTAGGAATTTCTTCAAGATTCCTAGTTGGCATATGTTGATAATTTGTGTATCATTAACTGTTTTAAGTTCAAAGCCCAGCAGTTTAAACTTGTGTACATTGTGGTGGTTTGGCAGTATTTAAAATGAGATATCAATTAGCATATTTAACAAGGTCTGGCATTTAGAGTGGAGCAGAAACTTGAGAAAATAACATGGAAGCGACTGCACATGGATGAAATGGAGCTGCCACCATGCATGGAGAAGGTGGAGAACCTGATTCAGAAGTCACCAAAGAGGGTTCAGAGTTCTGAACATCAAGCCAGAAAGAATTATTCCTATGACTTGAGGCAATAGAGTTTTCCTTGATGACATCTGGACTTGTTGAAGGCCAGTGGCTCCTTTGTTTCGTGATTTTTTTTAAAAAAATAAGGACATCCATGCCTATCCCACCATAAAATGTCAGAAGCAAATAATTTATGTTCTAGAGTCAAAGATTCACATATGGAGAGAAATTTTGCCCAAGATGAAATACTCAGAGCTTCATTCATACCTGATTTAGATGACTTAGGTAATACTTGGGACTTATTGATTTGATGTTATTTAGATTAAATTGTAGACTTAGAGTTGGTGCTAAAATGGATTAAACTTCAGCCTAAATGTCCATGAATAATAAACTGGATAAAGGATACACCATGGAATACTATGCAGCCATAAAAAAGAATGAGATCGTGTCCTTTTCTGGGACATGGATAGAAGTGGAGGTCATTAACTTTAGAAAAGTAACACAGAAACAGAAACCAAATATTGCATGTTCTTACTTGTAAGTGGGAGCTAAATGATGAGAACACATGGACATATACAGGGGAAAAATACACAGTGTGGCTTTTCAGAGGGTGGAGGGTGGGAGAAGGGAAAGGATCAGGAAAAATAACTAATGACTACTAGGCTTAATACCTGGGTGGTCTGTACAAGAAACCCCCATGACATAATGGTGATCTGTACAAGAAACCCCCATGAATAAGTTTACAGGTGTAACAAACCTGCAAATTTACCCCCGAACATAAATTGAAAGTTTAAAAAAAGATTTGAGGATTGTTGGGATAAAGTACATTTATATTGCTTGTGGAAAGATCATGATTTTGGGGTAGCCACAATGTAGACAGTAGTGGGTTGAATAGTGTCCTCCAAAATCTGTCCATCAAGAGCCTGTGATTGTTCATTTCACAGTTTTATGCTGTGATGGTTAGTACTGAGTGTCAACTTGATTGGATTGAAGGATGCAAAGTATTGATTCTGGGTCTGTCTGTGAGGGTGTTGGCAAAGGAGATTAACATTTGGGTCAGTGTTCTGGGAAAAGCAGACCCACCCTTAATCTGGGTGGGGACCATGTAATCAGCTGCCAGCATGGCCAGGATACAAAGCAGGCAGAAAAATGTAAAAAGGCTTGACTGTCTTAGCCTCCCAGCCTACATCTTTCTCACATGCTGGATGTTTCCTGCCCTCAAACATCAGACTCCAGGTTCTTCAGCTTTGGGACTCAGACTGACTTCCTTGCTCCTCAGCTTGCAGACAGCCTATTGTGGGACATTGTGATCTTGTGAGTTGATACTACTTAATAAACTCCCCTTTACATATATATGACTAATACACGTCTACCATAAACCCATGAATGTAAACTTATTTGAAAACTGAATGTTTGTAGATGTAATAAAGTTAAGATGAGGTTATACTGAAATAAGATCACTCATAAGTCCATTGACTGATGTCTTTATAAGATTGGGTGAAGACATGGAGACATAGATACAGGGAGAAATGGCATGTGCACATGGGAGCAACAATTAAAGTAACATGTGAAAACCAAGGAACACCAAGGTTTGCTGGCACCCACCAGAAGCAAGGAGAGAGTCATGGAACAGAGTCTTCTCTAGACCCTTCAGAGGGAGCATGGTCCTTCTGAAACCTTGTTTTTACACTTGTACCTACCAGAACTGTAAGAAAACACATTTCCATTGTTTTAAATCACCCAGTTTCTGGTACATGGTTACAACAGCCTTAGGACACTAACCCAGAAAATATAGGAAAAGATAAGGCAGACCTACAGTGATAAATGAGAATATTTTTGTTTCTTTCTTGCCTTTTGTTCACACTATGAAATTAGAGAGACCCAAGGTATTGTATGATAAATGTGTAGAGTTCAGTTGATTAAATATAGATATCTCTCCTAAAGATCCTTTCATATAAATAACAACATATTATAAGTTTTAAAACTTACATAGAAATAAAACTTATGACAATTATAGAACAAAAATGGGAGAGAAGAAAGAGAAGTATACTCTTGTAAAGTCCTTATCTTATGTGACATGGTATACTAATGACAGTACACTGTGTAACTGTCATTTATTTGACATAAATATCAAATATTTGTAGTATGTTAAACAAAAGGGAAGGTGGAAAGTCTATGTGCCATTAGATAATTTTGTGTCCAGGGCTTTCTTTTTCCATGCAGAATACCAGGTTTCCAAACTTCACAGCCGACTATGAGAAGCTTCTGTTATACTTTTTTTGTTCAAATTTGCCTCAACCAATTGAGATTATTTTGCAAGTACAAACTTTAATAATTACTACCAGGATTAATTTGGGTCTTTTGAAAAGGGAGGACAATTAAGCAAGAAAAATGCTAAGGGTTCAAACTTATCTCAGTGGAGAAGTAAAGCAGCTTGGTATTGGTAACGCCGTTGTTAATATAAAGTAGAAACCTAGGCAATACCATTCAGGACATAGGCATGGGCAAGGACCTCATGTCTAAAACACCAAAAGCAATGGCAACAAAAGCCAAAATTGACAAATGGGATCTAATTAAACTAAAGAGCTTCTGCACAGCAAAAGAACATCAGAGTGAACAGGCAACCTACAGAATGGGAGAAAATTTTTGCAATCTACTCATCTGACAAAGGGCTAATATCCAGAATCTACAAAGAACTCAAACAAATTTACAAGAAAAAAACAAACAACCCCATCAAAAAGTGGGTGAAGGATATGAACAGACACTTCTCAAAATAAGACATTTATGCAGCCAACAGACACATGAAAAAATGCTCATCATCACTGGCCATCAGAGAAATGCAAATCAAAACCACAGTGAGATACCATCTCACACCAGTTAGAATGGCTATCATTATAAAGTCAGGAAACAACAGGTGCTGGAGAGGATGTGGAGAAATAGGAACACTTTTACACTGTTGCTGGGACTGTAAACTAGTTCAACCATTGTGGAAGTCAGTGTGGTGATTCCTCAATGATCTACAACTAGAAATACCATTTGACTCAGCAATCGCATTACTGGGTATATACCCAAATGATTATAAATCATGCTGCTATAAAGACACATGCACATGTATGTTTATTGCGGCACTATTCACAATAGAAAAGACTTGGAACCAACCCAAATGTCCAACAACGATAGACTGGATTAAGAAAATGTGGCATCATGGAATACTATGCAGCCATAAAAAAGGATGAGTTCATGTTCTTTGTAGGGACATGGATGAAGCTGGAAACCATTATTCTCAGCAAACTATCACAAGGACAAAAAATAAAACACTGCATGTTCTCACTCATAGGTGGGAATTGAACAATGAGAACACATGGACACAGGAAGGGGAACATCACACACGGGGGCCTGTTGTGGGGTGGGGGGAGGGGGGAGGGATAGCATTTGGGGATATACCTAATGTTAAATGACGAGTTACTGGGTGCAGCACACCAACATGGCACATGTATACATATGTAACTAACCTGCACATTGTGCACATGTACCCTAACAGTTAAAATATAATAATAAAAAAAAGAAATTGTATTTCTCTTTCACTTACCTTCAATTTTTTTTTTATATCTGACAGTCTATTTCAAGATACAGGTTTCTGTTGGGGATCATACTGTTTCTGGAGGAAAAATATTAATTAATTTGTTGTGAAGTGATAGTCTGATGATAATGAATCCTTTCGGCCTATTTTTCTTTTGAAAGATATTTTCATTTAGACTTTTGTGTTGACAGTTTTTTTAAATATCATTACTTTTAAGGTGTCACTATTGTCTTCTGGTTTACATAGTTTCTGACAAAAGTCAACTGTTTTTATTTTAGTTTTTATTATAATGTTTTCATATTCTCTGTCTGCCTTCAAGATTATCTACGGTTTGCATCAGTTTTACTATTTTTATTTAGCACTCTGTCTCTCCCCCATCCCCCACCGCGTTTGTGTGTGTGTATCTGTATGTGTGTGTGTGTTGTACTCATCCTGATTGAGGTTCTCTGAGCTTTGTGGATTGGTGTATGTTTTTTACCGTTTTTGTAGAAATCTTGGCCTTTATCTTTTCAAAATTTCTTCTTCCTTGTTTTCTATTTTTGCTCTGGAACTCCATTCATATTTATGATTGACTGTTTTATGTCTTTTCATAGCTCTTCAGTGTTCTGTTCAGTTTTCCTTTTCTCTAGTTTTTTTCTTATTTTTCGCTTTTATTCCAAAAGAATTTTTCATCTCTGATATTGTTATTTTGTATTGAGTATACTATTTTTAGAACAGTTTTGTATTAGTTTTAGAACAGTTTAGGGGTTTACAGAAAAATTGAGAGATACCTTATTTCCCCTATACATATTTTCTCCTATTATGAATGTCTAATATTAGTGTGGTACATTAACCACAATGATGATCCAATATTGATACATTATTAAGAGTTCATAGATTATATTAGGGTTCTCTCTATGGGTTGTATAGTTGTTTGGGTTTTCACAATTGCATGATGTCATGTATCCACCATTCTAGTATCATAGAAAATAGTTTCACTACTCTCAAAATCCCATGTGCTTTACCACTTTCCTCCCCTCCCACATTTATTCCTGATCCTTTTACAGTATTTATAATTTGCCCTTTTTCATAATGACATAAAGTTAGAATCATACATTATGTACTCTTTCCAGATTGGCCTTCTTCACTTAGCAATATGCATTTAATGTAGCTCCAGTTCTTTTCATGGTTTGATAGCTTAATTTTTAAATCATTGAGTAAATTTCCATTTTACTGATGTACTGGTTTGTTTATCCATGCACCTATTATAGGATGTGTTGGGCTTCCAGCTTTCAACAATTATGAATAAACCTGCTATGAACAATTATATACACAATTTTATGTGATACACATTTCCAACTCATTTGGGTAAATACTAGAGAACATTATTGTTGGACTGTATGGTAAAATTATGTAGAGCTCCATAAGAAAGTGCCAAACTGTCTTCCAAAATGGTTGTGCCATTTTGCATCTCCACCAGAAATAAATGAGAGTTCCTGTTGCTTCACATTTTCGCCAGCATTTGGTATCATTTGGTATCAAAAAAATATCATTGGTATTTTTTTTTCCCAGAAAGGGTCTCACTCTCATCACCCAGGATGGAGTTCAGTGGCACAATCTCAGTTCACTGCATGCTCAACTTCCCAGGCTAAGGTGATCTTCCCATCTCAGCCTCCCAAGTAGCTGGGACTACAGGCGCTTGCCACCATGCCTGGGTAATTTTTGCATTTTTAGAAGATGGCGTTTTGTCATGTTGACCAGGCTGGTCTTGAACTCCTGGACTCAAGCAATCCACCTGCCTTGACTTCCCAAAGTGCTGGGATTACAGCTGTGAGCCATGGTGCCTGGCCTGCCCATTTTTAAAGGACTTTTTTTCTTATTCTTTCATTTAAGAGTTATTTGTGTATTTTGAATATAAGTTTCTTAACATATGCACGTTTCACAAACATTTTATCTCATTTTGTGCTTGTCTTTTTAGTCCTTCACAATCTCAAACAACAGAAGCTTTAAACTTATAAGTTTCCAACTTATGTTTTTTTTTCTTCTCTCATGGATCAAGCTCTAGTTGCTATATTTAAAAACTTCATGCCAACCCTAGGTAACTTAGGTTAATAAACACTAAGATTAATATTTCTCCTATGTTAATTTTCAGAAGTTTTATATTTTTGTGTTTTACATTTAGATCTATAATTCTTTATGAGTTAATCTTTAGAAAATATGTAAAGTTTATATCTAGATTAATTATTCCTTGTGGATGTCTAGTTATTCCTGCATCATTTGCTTAAAAAACTATTTTATTGAGTTGCCTTTGCTCTTTGTAAATGATCAGTTGACTATATTTTTATGGGTCTATTTCTTGGTTCTCTAGTCTGTTCCATTGATTTGTCTATACTTCCAACAATACCATAATAAAGTATAGTAAGTAAGCTTAGATTGTTGGTTTTAGATCCTTTTATCTAATACATGCACTGAATGCCATACATTTCCCTATAGGTACTGTTTTCACTGAATCTTACAATTTTTTAAATCCCTCTCTCCTTTTGCCCAACCTCTGGTAACCACTATGAGTTCAACACTTTAGATTCCATATGTAAGTGAAATAATGTGGCATTTGTCTTTCTGTGCCTGGCCTATTTCGTTTAGTTCTCCAGTTTCATCCATTTTATTGCAAACGACAGAATTCTCTTTTTAAAAAAAGGTTGAATAGTATTCCATTGTGTATGTACAGCACATTTTCTTTATCCATTGATGAAATTCATTCATGAAGACTTAGGTTGAGTCCATATTTTGTCTATCATGAATAATGCTGAAATGAAAATGGAGATGCAGATATACTTTTAACATATTGATTTCCATTCTTTCGGATATGTATTCAGAAGTAGATATGCTGGATCATATGGCATTTCTATTTTTAGTTTTTAGAGGAACCTCCATACCATTTTCCATATGGATTTACTAAGTTACATTCCCACCAGCAATTTACATGAGTTCCCTTTTTTCTCCATGTCCATGCCAACATTGGTTCTCTTTCTTTTTTGTTTTAAATAAAAGCCATTCTAATGAGAGAGAATTAATTGTGGTTTTAATTTGCATTTCCCTAGTTATTAGTGATGTTGAGCATTTTTTCATATACCTATCGACCATTTGCATGTCTTCTTTTGAAAAATGTCTGATTTTATTTCCCATTTTTAAATTAGGTTGTTTTCTTTTGTTTGAGTTGTTTCAGTTTCTTAAATATTTTGGATATTAACTCCTTATCAGATGTATGATTCACAAATATTTTCTCCCATTCTTTGGGTTGCCTCTTCACTTTATTAATTAGTTCCTTTGATATGCAGAAATTTTTAGTTTGATGCTATCTCATTTGTTTATATTTGCTTTTGTTATCTGTGCTTTCAGAGTTATATTAAAAAAATTATTGGCCAAACCAATGTAATGGAGATTGTTGGCTATGTTTTCTTTTAGTAGGTTTACAGTTTCAGGTTTTATATTAATTTTCAAAATTTGTTTTGAGTTAATTTTTGTATATGGTATGAGACAGGGATCCAATATCATTCGTGTGTCTGGATAGCCAGTTTTTCCAGCATCACTGATTGGGGAGACTATCCTTTCTCTATTGTGTAGTCTTGGCACCTGTGTAAAAAATCGCTTAAGCATAAATATGTGGGCTTTTTTTTGGGTTTTCTATCCTGTTCCATTGGTTGATGTGTCTCTCTTTTTATGCTAGTACCATGCTGTTTTTATTATAATTGCTTTATAATGTGCTTTGTAATAAGAAAACGTAATGGTGTCAGTTTTGTTATTGCCACTTAGGATTTTTTTCCTATTCAGGGTATTTTGTAGTTCCATCCAAATTTAAGATAATTTTTTTATTTTCATGAAAAACAACATGACTAATTGGTATTTATGCTGTTTCAAGTATGGTTCAATGTACACAAACAATAAATGCAGGATACCAATTAAATAAAATTAAGAAAAATTATATGAAATCATCTCAATAGATGCCAAAAAACCTCATGTTAAAATTCAACTGCCCATAATGATCAAAAGAAAACTTTCAAAAGATTAAGCATAAAGGGAATGTACCTCAACACAGTTAAGGTCAAATATAACAAACATATAGCTAACATCATTCTCAATGATGAAATGTTGAAAGCTTTTTCTCTAAGATCAAGGATAAGCATGTCCATCCTCACCACTTCTTTTTAACATTGTATTGGAAGATGTAGCCAGAGCAATTAGGCAAAAGAAAGAAATGAAAAGTATTCTAATAGAAAATGAAGAATTGAACTGTCTCTATTTGCTGGCCTGGTAATCTCATATATAGAAAATGCTAAAGATTCCACCAAAAAACTATTAGAACTGATAAATGCACTTAGCAAATTTACAGGATATACTTTCAACACAAAAAATCAATAACATTTCTATATGCTAATAACTACCCAAAATAATATTTAAAAATATTTATATCTAATATATTTATATTTATTAAATATATTAATATATTTATATTTAGTTTTATAAATAGATTTATATTTATAAGAATATTTAAATATTCTTTTGGATAGTTACTATAAATCCCATTTACAGTAGCATCAATAAAAATATTACAACATGTATATTTAACCAAGGAGGTAAAAGACCTGTATATTGAAAACTTTAAAACACTCATGAAGGAATTGAATAAAACAAAAATAATGGAAATATATGCCATTTTGATATGGTTTGGCTGAGTCTCTACCCAAATCTCATCTTGAATTCCTACATGTTGTGGGAGGGACCTGATGGGAAGTAATTGAATCATGGGGACAGGTCTTTCCTGTGTTGCTCTCATTATACTGAATAAGTTTCACAAGATCTGATCATTTTAAAGAGGAGAGTTTCCCTGCACAACCTCTCTTCTCTTGTCTGCTGCCATGTGAGATGTGCCTTTCACTTTCCCCTGTGATTGTGAGGCCTCCCCAGCCACGTGGAACTGTAAGTCTGTTAAAACTCTTTCTTTTGTAATTTGCCCAGTCTTGGTTATGTCTTTATCAGCAGCATGAAAACAGACTAATACAAATGTTATTGATAGAAATAATTAATATTGTGAAAATGTTCATGTGACTCAAAGCCATCTACAGATTCAGTGCAAGCCCTATAAAAATTTCAGCTTTCTTTTGATTAGTCTTAGCATGGTATATCTTTTTATATCTCTTCTATCATTCACTTTTGAAAACATTAATCTCTCTCATTGAAACAATAACTGCCAAATTTGTAGCAGTTTTCTATTTGTGGCAGTTTTTCTTTGTTTCTTACTTTTAAAAAACATATTGTCCCTTTTTTCTGTGTCTTCTGGATCCAGTGGTGCATCTTATATAACTCCATTTGATCTCTCTTTGTGTATACTATCCTTCCTTTTTGAAAAATATTGATTGCTCTAGAGTTTGCAGTATGTATTTACACTAATCCAAGTGCTATGGAATCCTTGGGCTGTCACTTTGCCAGCCAGAAAACTCTGTGGCCAGTGGTGCCATTGCCCAAGTCTTGGTCAGGGCCACTGGGCCCACTTGGCATGGCAGGCTGTGCTCAGCTCATGCTACTGGCCTAGATCCCATGCCTGCCAAGGTTGAGCAGAGTGGCAAGGGTTTTGTCAGCAAGCGAGTGTGGGGTCGGGCCACTGCACACAGCCAGGCACACTGGCTGTGGCAGGGCTGGAAGCTCCAGGCACCAGCACTGGTGTCAGCTCCCTGTGTGGTTGTGACTGGGCCAGAAGTACTGCAAGCAGCTTCCATGGCTGGTACCAGGGAATGCAGTAGCACCTGGAAGTTGGATACACCAGGACCTGCAGAGCCCCAAAGAGGGTGTTGCAGCCCTAGCTTGGGGAGCTCCTAGGTCCGGGCTCCCTGAAGGGCCACAGCTGTTTTCTCTTTCTTGTTGCCTGCAACATGGTGAGCAAGGGGTGTTTTTCAGCCCTGTTTGTGTTACAGCTCTTTCAGCTCTGCCACTCAGTGGGTCCTGAGTTCTTGTCCCATGCCCAGGAAGAAAGAGGTAGGTAGACAAGTGGAGGATGAGCAAGGTGAAGAAGAGCTTTATTGAGCAATAGAACAGCTCAGAGGAGACCAACAGTGGATAGCTCCTCTTAGCAGGCAGGTCGTCCCATCATGTCCTGGAGTCTGATTGAGTTCTGGGTTTCCGCCTGCCTCAGAGGAAAGGAAGTGTGTGCTGATTGGACTATGGGTGGCTATGGGCAGGCCCAGAAAAAGCACCATGAGTTCCTGCTCCGGTCTACAGTACTGACAACCCAGACCCCAGGCTTCAGGCCTTCCTGGCTTAAAGGTGGGGCTTCACTGGGTACCTGCCCCTTTCCACCCAGGAACTTGTCTGCCTTCTGCCACTGTTCATGGTGTCCAGGCTGTTCATGCCCAGGGGTTCTGGCAGGCCAGTGCGGAACTGCCCTTAGCCCCTGCCTCAGATTCCCTCCCATGCTCGTTGGTGCCCAAAGTCCAGAGGGGGCTGAGGCGGCAGGGGACTGGCATGTCAGTGCTCCCCTGAGCATGCCCACACACAGCTGGGTTGCAACAGCACACGGGCTTGGCCTCAACTCAACTCTGCTCACTGGAGGGGGCACAAGGAACAGGAAGAAGCCAGGCAGCAGGAGCAGGCACCTCTGAGCCAGTGAGGTCAGGGGTGCTTCCCAGTCCCGAGAGTGCAGAGATGCCCGGGTCCACAGCCATGGCTTGGGTGGCTGCAGGTGTACCTGGGAAGGTGTGGCTCCTGACTGCTCCCAGCCCCCAAGAGCTCAGGGATGCCTGGGTTAACAGCCATGGCTGGACAGCCTCAGCTGCAGCTGAGGAAGGCAAGGCTTCCACCCTGCCATCTCAGAAAAGGGCAGGGCTTCCACCTGGTCCTAACTCCTATCACAAGTCCACTTTTAAATAAATTTTTTCAAAGGGATTTTCTGAACCTTATAATATAACATTCCCACTTCCTCCCTCTCATCACTTATTACATTGCTGTCATTCATTTCACTTATCCACAATGTACATAATACATCTTTGCTATTATTAACAATTTTAAGACTTTGAACACTTTTAAGAAGATATTTTGTTTTACCTTCATTTACTCCTCTAATGCTTCTTTCTTTACATAGATTTTGGTTTCTGACCATGCTTCTTTCTTTACGTAGATTTCAATTTCTGACCAATATCATTTTTTCTTCTCTCCGAATAATTTTTTAACATTGTTTGCAAAATAGTTTACTGGTGACAAATTATCTGCTTTATTATTTAAAGAAAGTCTTTATTTCTCTTTAATTTTTGAAAGATAATTTTGCTAGACAGTGACTTCTAGGCTGGTGATATTTTTCTCTCAACACTTTAAATATTTCATCTCACTCTCTTTCTACTTCTCTGATTTCGCATGTGAAGTCAGGTGCAATGCCTATTCTTGTTTTCCTATAGGTGAGGTGGTCTTTCATTTCCCCCTCTGGGTCTTTTTAAGAGTTTATCTATGTTTTTCTGTAATGAATTCTGCTTCTGTTCAGCTGCAATTCTCTGAATTCATTGGTTTCTCTAGTTTTGTGTATGAAGGTTTGTCTTGTCACCTCAATTATCTGGTGGACTTCAGTTGTTTTTCAGCTATTCATTTTGTTGTTGTTTCAATGATTATGGGAGTGATGACCTCAGCTTTTTGTGTAAGAGCAGAAAACAATTTTTGATATTGCTCAATATTTCTAAATTTTCCATTTGACTCTTTCTTATTCCTACATTTCTGCTATAATTGTTCATCTTTTCACTCATATTATCTTTTGTTTCCCCAAGGTCTTTTAATATATTAATTATAGTTATTCTTAACTTCCTATTAAATAGTTCCAACATATGGAGTAATCATTCAGTCTTGTTCTGTGGATTACTCCTCCTCTGTGCAATGGCTGAGGTTTTTAAAAATTATTATTATTTTTTTGCAACTTCTATTTTTACTGAATGCCAGGCATTCGTATGTAATGGCACAGACTGAGGTGAATACTCTTCATAACTGAATAAGAAAATATATTATTCAATTTTCTGCTAATTTACATTGTTTCTGATAAGAAATCAAAGTTAATTCTAAGTGTTTATATGTATATATTCAAATATAATTTGGCTACTTTTAAGATAGTTTCCTTATCATTGATTTCCATGAGACTTCGTGATACGTTCTCTGTATTTATTCCATTTAAAGTTGTGTTGGGATTTTGGAATTCTGGATATGTTGTTTTCAGCAAATTTAGAAAAAGGATTGGCCAATAGTTTTTAAAGTACTTCTTCTGCTCTAATATTTTAATCCTCTCAAATGTTAATTCCATTATTCTTTTATTAGCTCATGTAATATTGTCCCATAGGTTACTGGGTCTATACATATTTTTAACTTTTTCTTCTCTGTCTGCTTTAATTTGAAATTTGACTATTCAAATTCCCACATATTTTCTTCGCCATGCATTGTACTATTACTTTCATCCATTTTAGTTTTAGAAAGCATATTATATTTTCATTATCAAGAAATTCTTCTGAGTTCTTTCCCTTTCTCTGTTGAGACTTTTACCTATTTATTCATTATTCCCACTAGTTTCTTTACATTTTTAAACATTTTTGCAATATCTGTTTTAAGTAGCACATGGCAATTCAAATGTCTATATTCTCTGAATCTGTTTCTATTATCTGTTTTACTTCCCAGATATAGATCACACTTTTTTTCTTCACATACTTTTTAAAAAAATTTATGCTGAATAGTAAAGATATCACAGTATATAAGGTTTGCATATTTTATTCCTTTAAAAATCGTTCAGTTTGAGCTGGTGGGCTGTTAATTGCTAGTGGCCTGACTTGTTGCTTATCAAGCCTCCTTTGGGTGCACTTAGAATAGCTCTCATTATATAGCAATAGTAGCTTTATTTTTAAGTCATGATCATCTTTCAACTCTGGCTGGTCAGATATTCATCTTTCAACACTCTGTGGACTCTAAACCTGCCATTTATCTCATAGTTTTCCAGGAATTTTCTGAAAACCCTTATAGAATGTTGTCTATGAAAGTGCAGGTTTGCATTCAACCAAAAATCTAGGGCTCGTGCATATTTTAAATTATTATTTTTTTCCTGAGAAGCTGCCTCCTTTCTAATACCTTCCCTGTAAGTCCAACTTTCCAAAATTTCCAAATCAACCCTGCAATCTGATCTCTATTATCTGTATGGATTCTAATTCCCTATGCTACATTTTGGAAACTAGCTTAGAAAGCAAATTGGTTTCAATGTGACAGTCATCTCATGTGTTTCTCTTGTGTCACACATCAGTTTGTAGGTCCATTGAAAAGCCTTTAAAATATATTTTATCCAGGTTTTATTTGTATACAGCAGAAGAGTAAGTCCAATGACTGATTATCAATTGGATCCAAAAGTCTGGTTACTAATCATAAGTCATACATAGATCTATTAAATGGGATTTTGCTAAATGGAAGGATATGTTTTTGTGACCTCATCCACTGTCCCCCTTGGTACTGGCTAAATTATATTTTTAGATTTATATTAAAAGAGAGTTTCATAGGCCAAATCAGAGCTAAGTTGGCACAAGTGCTATTGAGAAGGCAAAAATAATTTTGAGAAATACAGAGGTGCTATACCTTCTTTTTTTTTTTTTTTTTTTTTGACAGAATCTTGCTCTGTCACCAGGCTGGAGTGCAGTGGTGCAATCTCGGCTCACTGCAACCTCCAACTCCCTGGTTCAAGTGATTCTCCTGCCTCAGCCTCCTGAGTAGCTGGGATTACAGGCACACGCCACCATGCCCAGCTAATTTTTGTATTTTTAGTAGAGATGGGGATTCACCATGTTGGCTACGATAGTCTCGATCTCCTGACCCTGTGATCCACCTGCCGCGGCCTTTCAAAGTGCTGGGATTACAAGCGTGAGCCACTGTGTCTGGCCCAGAAGTGCTATGACTAATGGACTCATCTGAGATTGAGAATTTTAAGTTGACTTAGAAAGGTTAATAATGGGGCAGGCGCAGTGGCTCACGTCTGTAATCCCAGCACTTTGGGAGGCTGAGGCAGTTGGATCACCTGAGGTCAGGAGTTTGAGACCAGCCTGGCCAACATGGTGAAACCCCGTCTCTACTAAAAATACAAAAATTAGCTAGGCACAGTGGTGGGCATCTGTAATCCCAGCTATTCAGGAGGCTGAGGCGAATTGCTTGCACCTGAGAGGCAGAGGTTGCAGTGAGCCTAGATAGCGCCATTGCACTCCAGCCTGGGCAACAAGAAGGAAATCCTGTCTCAAAAAAAGAAATTAATAATGTTATTTGCAGATATCAAGATTCTCTATAGACCCAACTTTTCTGTCTTAGGATATTGGTTGCTTTATAACAATCTATATATTTATTCAAAAGCCAATTATCTAGGGATATTTCTGGGCTGTGAACAAAAATATCTTTCTACTTTCAAGTAACTCAAATAAATACCAAGGTGTGGAAATAAAAAATTGCATATATATACACACATAAAGTCTAAGAAATTTGAGATTATGGTAAGTACTGTTAAGAAAATAAAAGAGATCATATAATAGATATTAAATCAGTTTATAAAGAGGAAGGACTATAGGAGGTGATTTCTAAGAAGGCAATATATGAGCTGATGTCTAAAGAAGCCAAGTATGTGAACGCCATTAGAAATGCACCCCAGGCATAGAGGAGAAAAAACGAAGTGTTTTCTAAAGAGTGAGTGATTTTTAGATATGTTACAGGAAACAAACAAAATAAAGTTTAATATAGGTGTGCATTGGAATGCATATATTGAAAAAGTTGTCAGTGTCCAAGTCTTATAAGCCTTTTCAGTCATGTTAAGAAATTAACTTTTATTTTAAGCACAGCAGGAAAATCACTGAAGGGTTTATAGGGGTAAAGTTATTTATTAAATGTATATTTAAAATTATGTTCATTTTTTTCTGCTATCTGGAAAAGGGAAGGTAAGAATGTAGAAACACAGATATCTGTTGGGAATCTAGATTTTAGGACTCAATGAAGGATAATGATACCCTAGACTGATGTAGCTGCAATAAAGGGAAGAAGTAAACTAATTAAGATTATTTCATTGTGTAAACTAATAGAACTTTGTGATGGATTGGATGTGGGAATGAAGTAGAGATCAGAATCACATATGGTTCCAAGATTTATGGTGTGGTATTTATGGAAGCTTTTACTGAAGTGGAACAGAAATCAGAAATTTTAAAAAATTAATTACAGACAGTTTGGAGATTCTTTAAATTGAAAGTGTTAAGTAAAAGATTATGATTTATTACCAGAAACTACTTCTTGTCTATTTTTTGATTCTCATAATCTTATTTTTATTACCATATTACATTTAGCAATCTGCTTAAACTGTATCATCCATTCTTTGCATGTTCATGAAAATACATGCAATCTGTCTGGAGAGATGATAAAAGTTAAATCTTTATCATGATTATTTGGAATTTACTGATACTGGATTTCTTTCACTTTAAAGAAAATTGCCTCTTTCTATTTTAGGGAAATATTTAATACAGTCCTACTACAGTTGATTAATTGCATCCTATAGGCAACAACAAATTTGAATGTCTCTCTTAGACCTTGAGATCTGTTTCAATCACCAAAATTATTTGGTTGTCATTTTATAAAGTAGAGATATAAGAATGAATAGCTTCTCAGGTTTTTTCTTTAAATTTGCCAATATAGGTCACGCTTCCCTATGGTTTATTATTTATTCAACAGCCTTTAAAATATTTAAAGCAATAGAATTTTTCTGCCTGTATTGAAGGAACATTAAATGTGCTCAAAAGGCCTCTAGTTAGATATAATTTTTATGATTCCCAAACTGTTTTTTATTTTTTAGTTATCATTCCTGCTATTAGAGTTCTACCATTGAATTGTTATTAGATAATATTTGTAGTTCTACTTTATATTAATAAAATATATTTTTGTCCAAATATATCTTTAAAGATGAAATTTGTGATTTTTTTCAATGACAAGTTCTGCTATGAAACAAATACTTTAAAGTTGCTCCACTGTCCTGAGAATATTAATTTTCCAATTTCAATAAAAAGAGCAGATGGTTAACATTAAGAGTGATGAAACAGGAGATTTAAATGGTTTTACAATAAAAAATGAAAACAAACTCAGTTCATCATTAGTTAAAAGTTACACAATTGATCTATCACCTTCATATTCCAAAAATGTATACATATGCCTGGTAAGAAGGTAAATTTATTTTCTGGGTGTGGAATACAGAAGAACTTTTAAAGGGAGAAAATATTTTAGAAAGGAGAACTCACTATGCATAAATAAATTTAGAACATAGCTATCATTCAATAAATGTTAATTAAATCCAGATATTTAATTTGAGGCATAAAAATATCAAAAAGACCATGTGTCTTATTTTATTTCCAGCTTTAGATGACCGATTTCCTACAAACTTATTAAAAGTTTATAGAGAATTTGTTCATTTGTTTTTATTTTAGTTTTCTACAGATGAATTATGTTTCAGAAAATGCCAAACCTGAATTTCAGTCTCAAATCCTCTACCATCTTTTTCACCTAATACAACTTATTTAAATTTGTCCTGTCTTCTCAAGTGTAAGGTGGAAATATGCTTAATTCAGAATGTTGAGATATCAAATGACAAATGCCTTCAAATTGGTCCACAGTAGGAACTCACAAACATTCTATCTTTTTCCTATTGCTTTTCTTGACTAACCTATCAGGCAGGTGATCCTATGACACATAGAGCAAAAATCTGTCCATGTCCTCAAAAACCATTATCAATATTCCATTGTCAATGAAATCTGAGTTCTCTATAGATGCTTATCTTCTTAGCCTGTTTATCTTATCTTTGATGGCAGGAGTTATGTTCTAGATGTTACTTGTATTATTATAGTATGTGGTCCAATATTCATTTACTAAACCAAGCTGTTTTTATCTCTGAATTTTCTGTAATATTGATAAAAACTTCCTTTGCTTGAACTTCCAGAAAATTCCAAGTCTATGTTAGAAAGCCATACAAAATTAAATTCTACTTTTGAAAATAAGCCTTCAGACTAAGTGAATTGTAATTATTTGTGTATATTTCCTGGTCTTTTATCTTCAATCAACACTTGTTATAAAATGAACTTTCATTAGACAACTGACATTAGACAAGCTTCACTAAAAGTATCATTAATTTTGATTTTATTTCTTAAATAAAAAGCCTGTGGATAATTAAAACCCTTGTATATCATTTAGAAGAAGCTCTAATACCATGGATTGTTCGAATACTCATAAAATATATAAAGAAAAGATGGCATATTTCAAAATCTTGAAAACATTGTCTTTATTAATTCATTTACATATCATTTTAATCTTATTTAAATTATATTTTTATTTTAAAAAATCACTTCAAGTCTTCTGATGTTAGTATTTGTTTGTTTATTTTTAAATACTTATTGAACCCTTTGAATGTGACAAGTGTGGTTTATAATCCTGGAAATTCACTTGTGAATAAACACAAATATTTCTGTACTCATGTAGAATTGGATATTTTTTTCTCATTTTCATAGTGACAATTTTTTCTAACTTATTAAAACATAAATGCATGTTACAAAATATTAATGGAGAAAGCATGTAAAATGCCACTAAATGTAAATTTTCTGTTACAGCTTCGTTATACCTAAATACAAAGCCAATGTTTCCAATGATTATGTAATCTTATATAACTCCATCATATTCAATTAACTATGAATTATACCCTAATCTATGACTTATGTGGCTAGACTATTACGCAAAACATTTAGGTATTATTCTTAGAATTAATAAATTTTTGTATTGGTTACTTGATAAAATTCTTGCTGTATCAACTAAGTGGGTTGGATTGATTATACATAATAAACCAGAGAAGGTCTCCATATGGAAGGAGGATATTCAGAAAAGTTCAAAGATGGGGGAGAATACTATTTTCTAGGAAGATTAAACATTTTGTCATTTCATTACAGGAACATATTTTTCTGAAGGTGTTGATTAAATTATACAAACAGGCCATCAGGTTAAAAAGAATTACAATTTGAGTACTACCTTTGGAATTTTTCTATCATTCTTTACATGATTACTACAAACGGACTTGCACGAGACTTTTTAAGCTCAGTGTTCTTTCCCTTTTGATTTTCCCCAGTAAATAATAATATTTCACTGTCTAAAGACTTCCGACTAAATATACTTAATTGAATAAGTAAGAGCCTTTTAATCCTTTAAACTGTAATTTATTAATTAGGTAATATGCTAGAAATTGAGTTTTCTTAGATCTCAGTTGTGACTTCTCAGTTATCATTTTATCATACCTTACACTTCATTTTATATTTTATATGAAAGGATTCTCTTATCTACTTATCACTCAGATACATCAAGGGAGTGGCTCTATGTCTTGTGAGCTTAACAGAAATAACTACCATGTTCCATAAACATGAACATTTGTTCAGACTATTATAATCCATGCTCAGTTGTTTTTATTTATTCTGAATTAACTAAAAATACAAGTTCCTCAATCTCATCTAATTCTTTTTTGTTTTCAACAAACATGTTTTCAGCATCTCTTTTATATCTGGACCAGGGGATACAGGGAAAGTCCCTGCCCTCATGGAACTTTGTTCTCAAGGGAAGAACTAACAATCAAAATAATAAATGAGATAATTACAAACTAAGGTAATGAATGAGAAGAAAATTTAAAAAAAAGATGACATAGTGAAGTAATTTGGGGTTATTTCATCATAAAGAGTTCCCTTTTAAGAGAAAAAAAATCTTAGTTGAGACCTGAATAGAAGGAAATGGCCATGTGCACATCTGAGGAAAGGATATTTCTGTAGAAGAAACATGATGAACAAAATCTCCAAAGGAAAATAGTGTAGCATGTTTGAGAAATAAGCAGCAGCTCGTGAACTTGCATGATTAAAGAGATAATGTTTTGATATAATGTTGAGAGACAAGCCAGAGATAAAGCAGATTATAAAAGATCTTGAGAATTAGGTTAAGTTTTGACTTTATTCTAACAAAAATGAGAGGGCATTCAATTATTTTAAGTGGGGAGTTATAAGATCTTTTTTTTTCTTTTTTATGTAAGACAAGTCTGTAAAGAATTTATTGGAGAAAGGTAAGACTAGAAGTAAGGAGGTTGACTGAGAATATCACTGCAGTCATACAAAAAAGAGATGGCTATTATTTCAACTGAAGTGATTAACAGTGGAGAAAAAAAAGACATCTAAGATGGTCTTTTAAGTTAGAACTGAAAGGATCAGGCACTAAATACGAGGGTGAGAGTAAGAAAACAATCAATCATAGTTTCCATGTTGTTTTCTTAGATCACCGGATGGATAATGGTTTCTTTACACAAGATGAGTAGGAACATATAACACTGAAATTCCACTTTTAGGTATATACCAAAGAGAATTGAAAGCCTGCATACACCCCAAATCTTACACATAAATATTCATAAAAGTGCTATTCATAACAGCTGAAAATGTGCATATTAGAAAGTGATTGTGAATACTCAAAAGTCACAGGCTTAGAAATTACTTGAGAAGAAGTTTACAACTTAGGGTGATCCTTGATACAGAGTCAGCTTACAACAATTAAAAAACTAAAAATAAACAAAAACAATTACCCCCCTCCTCCCCCCTCCAAAAAAAAAAAAACAAAAAGCTGGGAAGTGGGAGAATCTGATTTGCAGATTTACAACATTATAAGATCAAAATATCCACTTTTCAACAAACATCACAAGGCATAGTGAAAGAAGGAAACAGGAAAAGATGGCCCATTGAAATGGAAACAAAAAACATAACCAACAGAACCTTCCTGAATAATACCTCGTGGCAGATCTACCAGACAACAATTTTAAAATAATTTTCTTAAAGATGCTTAAGAAGTAATAGAGGATGTGGAGAATGTAAAGAAACTATATGAACAAATTGGAAATATGAGTAAAGAGATAGCCTAAATAGGAACTAAGAGAAATTCTGGAGCTGTAAACTACAATAACAGAAATATGAAATTCACTGGAGGGACTTAAAGGCATATTTGAGCAGACCGAAGGAAAAAAATAGTGAATGTAAAGATAAGACAATAGAATTTATGAATTCAGAGAAACAGAAATAAATAAAGTTTGAAGAAAAGTGACCAAAGCCTAAGGGACTTGTGGGATACCATCAAGTGGACCAACATACACACTGTGGAAGTCTCAGAAGAAGATGAAAAGGAAGGGACACAGAGAATGCTTGAAGAAATAATGGCTTAAATTATCTTACATTCAACTGAGTAAAGTCAAAAATATGAACATCCAAGAAGCTGGCTTATTTCGCTCAAAATTAAGTTTCTACGATTTTTCTGCTGTTGTGTGAATTACAATTATTGTGATTATACAATTATATAGACATCTAATAAATATCTTTTACATAATATTATTTGCATAACATGCCATTTGCATAATATTCAATGTTCCCATTAAGACCCTAATGGATATTTTAAGGAACAGGCCATCATTAAACTTTTTTTCTGCTAGGTTTTCTCACAGTTGCTTCTCAAAAAAAAAAAAAAATCTTGTTTTGGTCACAGAGTGGAAAGTACCTGTAGATCTACTTAATATCCCTTTTGAAAAGATTAGGAGGGCATTGTGGTATTGGAGTTAAATGTCTCTAACTGACTACAGGTAACACATGTTTTCTTTTAGGCCTGAAATTAATGCTATGTTTATATAACTTCCTAAATGAAATACAATACTTTTGGGATAAAAATAAAAGTCATCTCTTGCTCTTAGAGAGGACAACAGAGTAAAAGAAATGTTCTGAGCTGATAAATAAAGGTAGGTAACTATGTCTGCTCTCTTGGAGTCAAAATTTTCTCTAAAGGTCAACACCATACTAAACACAATGCTAAAAACACAATTACTAAAATGCTAGTCAGCTCCTCCCAAACTCTGTACAAATTTTGCAGATGCAGCTTTGATTTGTTTTATTCCTCTTGAGAGAAGGTAGGTTTCACCAGAGTATTTTTGTAAATAGTAATTTTCCTTAGAAAATTAAATCTCAGATGTTTAAAGGTTAACAGGGTCTTTCTGTTATGGCTCTAAAGGATAAGCCAACCAAGGATTGACAACAAAGAATTTGAAAAAGAAGGCAACCATTCATTTGCCAATGAAAAGAGCAGAAGGCTGAGAGGTGATTATAAAAGTCTTTATCCAGAAATAGATAACTCTGGACAAAAGTAGCAAATGAAGGGAGTGGATATATTAAAGATGGAGAATCTTGTTTCTACTGTCCTCTGAAGTTATGGTGGTAGCAAATTCAAATTTATATAGTAGCCAGGTAAATAGCCTAAATAAGTACAGTTGACAACTCATATGAAAGGGAGAGTGTATGTCCCATCTCAAGGAGGTAATGACTCCTCATAGCCAGCCTGTTGTTACCAAAGTGAAATGTATGCCCAATGTTTACAGGTCTTCTACATTGTAATAAGAAGCAAAAATTAAGGGTATCATGTAATGATCTAACTTATAAATATTATCTCACCTTTATAAATTATCTTGCCCAACAAAACAGATCCAGACTATATTCAACCTGTGGGCCACATTTAGCAAGCTGCCTAATAATTAATTAAATGTTGAAAACCAATGGTGCAGTAAGTCAAAACTCCTATCTTCTGATGATAGAAAATCTGGCTGGCTGGCGATTTCTTGCTGAGGACATAGGATCCAGCCCAAAGTTTCTGACCACAACACATGGAAGTGGAAGTCAAGATGCAGAAGAAGGAGACCATCTCTTATAGCCCCTCTGCTTCCAGGGAGTGGTAGTTGACTCCCCTGTGTTTAGAGATGAGAAAATGTAAATCAATATCTCACCTTTCCTTAATCCTCACCCACTTTAAAGCCTCAGTTGAAATCTAGAGTTCCAGCATCATCAAAATTATGATAGTGAGAGTAAACACAGGAAAGCTAGATTATCTTAGAGTCTCAAAGGAACATAAACAGCATGAGTCAGGAAGTCTAACATGTTCTTTGCAATTCCCCCAGTACCTAGACAAGTTGGCATGTTGTAGGAGCTCCATAAATGGACCAGGAAGTATAACAGGAACTTCAGGAGTGCAGTCACACTTAGTAAAGTGTGACTTGATCAATATGCTCACATGATTAAATTTGTTTCAGCCAGATAACAGTGGGAACTGTTATGAAAAAGACTAAGAGATGAAATGCTAAAGAGACTAAAACAAGGTAAGATCTGTAAGGAAATAACAAGGAACTAAAATAGAGCATTGTATTAGACTGTTTTTACACTGCTGATAAAGACACATCTGAGAATGAATGGGCAATTTACAAAGGTAAGAGGTTTATAGGACTTACTGTTCCACATGGCTGGGGAGGCATTACAATTATGGCAGAAGGTGAAAGGCACATCTCACATGGATGGCAGCAAGCAAAGAGCTTGTGCAGGGAAACTCCCATTTTTAAAACCATCAGATCTTGTGAGACTTATTCACTATCATGAGAACTGCACGGGAAAGACCCATCCCCATGATTCAATTACTTCTCACCGGGTCCCTCCCACAACATATGGGAATTCAAGAAGAGATTTGGGAGGGGACACAGCCAAATCATATCAAGCAGTGAAATTAATTTTCCACTACAACACCAGAGGAAAGAATCCTTTCAAACATGGGAGACACTTTTATGTGAAATCCAAAGAGTTGATCCCATAGAAACAGAGAGTTAAAAGGCAGTTGCCAGAGGCTGGAGGAAGGAGCAAGGTGGAGAAAGGGATGATATTGATCAAAGGGTACAAATTTTTAATTAGAATAGAGGAATATGTTGTAGTGACTTATCACATTTTATGGGTGCCATAGTTAATAATAATGTATTGCATATATCAAAATTGCTTAAAAATAGATTTTTAACATTCTCATTACAAAAAAAATTATCAGTTAGTGGGGAGATGGATATGTTCATTAGCTTGACTGAATCTTTCAACAATGTTTACATAAATAAAAAAACATCATATTGTGCCTCATAAATATATACAATTACTATGTGTCAATTAAAAATAAATAAATACATAAATTTTACAAATGAAAAAATAAATGTGGCACATTTTTTTCTTTTTGCATTAGAAATATTAGGGCCAAGATTTCAAATTGCAAATGTCTTCAAAGCTCTTTGCTTTCTAATGGATTATATTTCTATTTATTTTCCCCATTAAAAGCCACAATTAAATGGCCTGGTAGTACTTCAAAACTTTGATTTTTAAGTGTCTTTAAGATTTCTTTAAATTTGACCAGTTTGTATGAAACCACAGCACATTTCAGCTGAATAATGACAGTGCAGAAAGGCACTTTGTTACAGATAAAAATCATTGACTTTCGGAGATGCCATCAATAGTCATTTAGACTAGAATATTTCAGTCTCAAAAGTAAAGATATTTTCTCCTTTATAGGCAGCACATTGCATTTTACATGGTTGTTAAGATTTATAGATTCATTGTCTAGCTTCCATAGGTGAAGTAATTTCAGACTCACATAACCAAAAGAGGTAGAATTTCATTGTATCGAATTCTCTTTTCTTCCCTTTCTACTCAATTAGTGAAAAATCTGTTTTTCAAATTGTAATGTCTCAGATACTGACAGTAAGGATTTCCATACTTTAAAAAGTATGCAGTATGCTCCATACCTGGGCTTTGGGCACCTTCACTGGATTCCTTCCTGTTTTGATTTTTAAACTCATTATTTTAGTTTGGATTCTGCTGAAATCAGAACTTAAGATGGGGGCTTGTGTGCAGTAATGCATTTGGTAGATGATTTTAGGAAGTAAAATTGAGGAGCTCGGGACATGAAATCAGAGAATAACGAAGTCAGTAGAAGAAATCTTATTATGGTTACTATTTGGGCAATGACTAAATAATTACATAATGACCTTTAGAAAGTTAATAACATATAATCAGGATTATCCATAAGTAAAGCTGGTGATTAGAATATTTATAAATTACCTTCCATCCCTAGTTGTTTGAAGGGTGTCTTAGGAGCACTGACTTCTTGTATTTTGAGCCTGAACGTGCCTGTATGCTAAGGTAGTTCACATCGTGTATGAAAAGATCCTCAAAGGGAGCAAAGACTTGATATAAGGAACTGCCATGATGAGGCGAGCTGAGATCACTCAGTACAGCTCATTCCAAATGCAGTACTGCTCATTCCAAATGCAACTGAAATCAGAGGCTGACCAAGAAAGAGGATGTAGCCTGGAGCACCAGAGTCATTTGCTATGTTTACTGCAGGAAGTATCAAGGCCTGCTTTCTAGAAATATACCTGTAGGTCTGCCTCCCTCCATGTACTCTCTGATCTTCCCCATTCAATTGACCCCAATCTTCCAAGAAGCCAGTTGTGTATATTTTGCTTGGAATGTGCTTTGTACACTCAATTCTTACCTCAATTTGCACCAATTTGTGTGTGTGTGTGTGCTGAGGAAGTTGGAGAATTAAAATGTTCATGCTTTGGGACATAGGTATTAGGTGTGCTCTTCATAATAACTTTGCCAGAAAGCCCTGCACTTTGGGAATTATTGAGCTTTTGTGATTACATATGGCAATGTAATCTTGTATTTTGAGTTCTCACTTATGGTTAGAACTTCAGTTGGGTGCTCCGGGCTATATCTTCTTCCTTGTCCAGCCTCTGATATCAGTTGCATTTGAAATGAGCAGTTCTGAGTGGTCTCAACTCACCTCATAATGAAAGTTCCCTATGTAAAGTGCTCGCTGAGTCTTTGCTCCCTCTTGAGGGTCTTTTTCTATACATAGGAGCCATCCATGTATAGAAAGAAACTATGAACAACTGAAGAAGAAGAAACACTGAACAACTAGGAATAACAACCACATCAGAGCCTAACACATTAAATCATCCAATAACTATAATTTTTGGTACCACTGGTCTTTAATTAGGTCATTCTAATTAAAATGTTCTTACATAATTTGTTCTGTAATGTTAAAAGTGTATTTTAATGTTCTATCTATTATATATAATTTATCTGAGGCCAATTACTCTAAAATATGTGATGCCCTAGAAAACTAAATATAGGTGGATAATGACCTATAAATATATGATAATTGATGTGTTTTTAATAGACATTACTTAATCTCAAATCATTATCTTATTTTGTAGAGTATAAAAATTAACTGCTTCAAGATTATTTTATATTATATAAAGAATCACCAATGATAAAGTTACTTGTCTTAATTTGCTATTGGTTTCAATTTAGAAAGATTTATTATGAGTTAGTGAATAATATAAAAAGTCTAAATTTTGTGTTTTACTTCACCTCTAGATTTACTATAAAGAACAATTTTACTTTGTAATATTACATCAAATTATATCCTATCTGAATTTAAAATTAATGTTATATACTCACATATATTGTATTTTAATTTAGAATGAACCTGATTCACAGGGTTGTAAAAAATTATCTAGATTGTTTGCCACAGTTTCAAAAAGTCAGCATTTTAAAAGTCAGAATTTTATTTCTTATTGGTTACTAATTTTTTAAATGTTTTTTATTGGCAGCATGAGAAGAAAATTAAAAGAGAAAACACTTTATGAAAAACTATAATCACTAAGCAGTTACATGTGTTAACATTCAAAAAGTTTAAATTGTATACAATTAAAAAATTAACTTACTTGAAGTGAAATATGATTTTATTTTAAAAATTTTTGTGTGCCTTTAATGTCCTAGGCACTCTTGTAGGTACTGCAATAAAATAATGAACAAAAGAGAGAAATTCCTGTGTTCAAGGAGATTTAATTCAAGTAGTAAGAGAGAAAATAAACAGTTAAGTGACAGACTTATTAGGAAGTGCTAATTGCTAGGAAGGGAATAAAAGGTAATTGAATAGAGTGACATAGTGTTATTTTTATATAATGTAGGTAGGCTTGTAAGAGAAACTTCTATACAAAGCCTGATAAAATAATACAGAAAAGCATGCTATCAGAGGGAAGTGATACACACCCAGATAGAATAGCAGAGGCCAACACTGTGGAATTGAGGGAGAAATTAGATTAGAGAGGTAGCTAGGGGCCATATTATACAGGATTTAGCAGACCAATGTAAGGAGTATGTGCTTTGTTCAAGTATTTTGGGAAGCTACGGAAGATTTTGAACATGGGAGTGAAGTGATATGCTTTAATTTTAAAATGATCACTCTGGGTGCTAGATAGTGAATATATTTTAACATCAGAAGAGGGAAGATGGAGACAAATTAAGATGTCATATTTCAGGCAAGAGATGATGGGGGCTTAGACTAGGATCATTGCAATATAGGTTGTGAAAGTGGTTGAATTAAAATGTATTTTGAAGATGCAGCCAATGGGATTTGCTGATGGACTGCATGGAGATGTGTGAGCAAAGAGTTAAGAATAACTCCACAGTTTTGGCCTGAGAAACTGGGTAATAATGATGCCATCCACTGAGGTGGACAACACTAGGCAGAACACAGTTGGAATAAATCCTCAGTACTAATCAGTCTGAGGTATTATATGGATACCTGAATGAACATGTTAGTAGTTATTTGGGTATATGAGTTGAGAGTTCAGGGGAGACACAAAGATTCATAGAACATATTTGGGAATTATTAGTATATTTATGGTATTTTTTAAATGGTTGAAATTCCTCAATCAGTGAACATATCTAAAAATAGAAATAATGATGATCTAAACAATTATGCGATCCACTAATAGTAAGAGAAAACAATGATGAAATTGATAATTGCGGAAACATGGAGTGCAAGTTTACAAGGTATTTTACATAAACAAAATAGGTAAAATGCTACTGATAATATGACCACAATGTGGAAAGAAAATGGCAATGGAGAATAATTAGTGACCTCCAACAAGAAGAATACCATTTTAATCTTGGGATTAAAGCATGATTGGAAGTGGGATTGAAAGAGAATAGGTAGTGAGGAAATGGATATTCAATAGACAGCAGGTTTCAAAATTCTTTTTTTTAAACAAATCGAGTAGTAGTTTAACACTTTTTACACATTGTAGAAAGATTCAAAAACAAAATGAGGAAAAGGTAAATATTTATTCATATGCTGATAGCAAGTGATATAGTATGGAGAGAATAATTTATGCTGGAGAAAATAAATGCAGGATAAACTTTCCTTAACAATAAATGAGGCTGGGTGCAGTGGCTCATGCCTGTAATCCCAGCACTTTGATAGGCTGAGGCAGGCAGATGACTTGAGGTCAGGAGTTCAAGAACAGCCTTGCCAACATGGTGAAACCCCATCTTTACTAAAAATACAAAAATTAGCTGGGTGTGGTGGCGAGCACCCGTAATCCCAGCTACTTGGGAGGCTGAGGCAGGAGAATTGCTTGAGGTGGAGGTTGCAGTGAGCAGAGATTGCACCACTGCACTCCAGCCTAGGCGACAACAGCGAGACTCCATCGGAAAAAAGAAAATATGATAATAATAATGGAGAGAATCCATACAGCAGTAGGGCAGTAGGGTTGACAATAGACAGGAATGTGGAAAAACAGAAAATGTAGTCTATGAATGCAGATGCGTATAGTTTGGTAGTTGTTAGTGCGAAGATAAAGAAGCTTTCTTCTGATGGCTTTTATTTTCTCAGGGATATAAGAAACAAAGACAATTGAAACTTCAATAGAGAAAGGATTGATAATGGTGTAAAAAGATAAAGCTAGAATAGTAGGCTAGGATACTCGGAAATTCAATTGATTCAGAAGAAGCAGGATTGTCAGGCAGCACCAAGGGCTTTCTTGAGATTTGTGGTCAAGAAATCAAGGTAAGAACATTCATTCTCATTCTCTCTCTCTCTCTCTCCCTCCCCCCACTCATAATTTTTCTCTGTGTGTGTTTGCGTGTGTGTGTTTCTTTAAGCACATGCATTTTTTTTCTGACAAGTAAGAGTGATTTTAATAATGAGTCCTATAATGTAGGCTGGGAACATGGGAAATAAGGATTTTTTTTTTTAACAAGAGTCAAAATTGGCAGCCTGAAAATAGCATTAATGAGCAATTCTTGGAAGACTTGTATTTTCCTACTCACCTCTTCAGCTAATGTCATGCCAGCCTCTTGGTCATTGCTCTGTGCTTCTTTCCTGCTGCAACTTCTATCCTCCTGGTGTTTATTTTGCCCTGTGCTAGAAACTGCATTGATATTTTACTCTCTGAAGTTCCATTAACACGCATTTTTGTTTGCATTATAGAATTTCACTAAGGGTTTGAAGAAATAATTTAGAGCACGGTAGAAAAAATAAGTTGAATTTTATGTGTTGCCCTTTTAGCAATTTGTTGGCTTTTTTGAACAGAACTATCTAACTGGCCCTTAGGTTCTGGCTCACCAAATCTTGTCAAATCTATTTTCTCACTGTGTATGTCCTCACCTCTATCTCCACCTATCATTTCCTATGAAGGGGAAAAGACCCACCAATAATGACATTTCAGCTTTCTAAAATACAATAGCTGGCTTTGATGCTCACTCACAAATAGTATCAAAATCACCAGTCAGGCATTCCCATTCATTCAGATTTTTCAGTTAGCATTTTGATGGTTCTCTCTTAGACATTAACCGATATTCAAGGATTTTCTCATATTAAAGGGATATCTCTAAATAAATAGATACATAAACAAGAAAATAGCACATACACGCAGAAAAAAGAAATTCTGAAACACTGAGGCAAGGCAGGAAAAAAACATACAAAAAGCTTCATAAATATTATTTTAGAGAAAATATAAGATATTTTGTTTGTGAACATTGCAGAATGCGCTAAAAATATTAGGTAAGATAGACAGTTTTGGGGAACTGAAATGAAAGCTAAATATTAACAATGTAATAGAGGCACTGGAAAAGAAGATGTAAGTAAATCCTCAAATGAGCAAAAAATAAAATTAGAGAGGAATATTGATATATTTACAATATTATTGACAATGACTTCTGACTAATAACATTTTTGATATAACTATGTGGGGAGGAAAGAGTAAGAAAACATATTTGGTTAGGGGGATAGGGATAAGCTAAGTTTTAATTATCCATAGAAACAATTAGATATGTGAAACACAGAAGAGAAAAGTTCAAGAAATGGTAGTATAATTGTGCCATTTAGAAATATAGAGGTAAATATCAGAAGTATTAAGAGTGTTGAAAGAAGTTGCTTCTGGAAGCAGGTCTGCTGTGTTTTATATTATTCTCCCACCTCCTCACTCCTGCTTTATACAGGCAAATCATACCTTTTCCAGAGCTGTCGCTGGTATAACACCTCTTTCTTCCTAGTGTCATTATAGAATTAGTTACCTGATTCTGTAACTGTTAAGCATAGTCATTGCTAAACACAGGGCCCTCATTACACACAGGCGGAAAAAGCAAAGCATTTTGAGGAATCTGTGAATTTGTAAGTCCTTTAAAATCAGATTAGTCTTTGTACATTGTATATTTTTTCCTAATACCTCAAGACTGCAAGACTGCTAACTATAGCTAAAATTCTGAGGTGCTTCCCCTATTTAATTTATGATATGATGGTGCTTTTTTATATAATTGTATATACATGCTATGAAGATTCTAATGTCCCATAGACATATCAAAGCTTCTTTTTTGCTTTACTCTCTTCTTCTAATTATTCAATTACATAAAAATGTAAATATCAGTTAGTAAGGAACTATTTCATCTTTATATGTAATTAAGTGTAATTTTGGTTCTTGATCTCTCTCTACCTCTCCCTCTCTATACACATTTGTATATCTGTGTTTGTACCAATATATTATAGGCATCTTGAACCCAAACCTAATCAACTTTTTCCGTAGCTTTCCCTTAATGTTCCATTTAAATTCACTTCCCCAACTCCTTACCTTCATCCTGGTCCCCATAATCATTTGTTTTTAATTTCTTTTTAGAATTTTTCCTGTGGAAAGTTAATACCATATAAGGCAATTAAGCTATTATATCTCATATATATCTATATATACATATTTATATATATTTATTTATAGGTTTGTGTTTATATTTTACACACATACTTATGTATAAGAGATTTTATATATATATATACACACACACATATATTTCTATACACACGCTCTAGTATGTATATTATACTGGCCTTATTTTATATATTATGTGTGTGTATAATATATAAAATAAATGTGAATAAATTTTTTTTTTGATCATAGCTTTCTGTCAGAACTTTGAGAGTTAAATCCTCCAACCCTTCTAGGAAGTAGTATTGCCATTCTCTGACACACCTGGCCTGAATTGATGCCTGAATCAATTCAGAATTTACTACATCTATTGAGACACTTTGTCCATCCTGATTACTGCATAACAAGTTCACCTCATGTCTCATGCTAGTGCATTAATCCAGGTGCAAAAACTACCCCCTAACAATTGTATGTGAGCTGGGTTTTTGTACCCTTATCATCATTTTTTTGACATTAAAAAGAAAGCTCATTTCTTTCAATATGAGAAGCCTAAAATAGAGTTAACTGAAAGTCATACACATGAGAACAAGTTATTGATTGTAGTGGCAGGAGACTAAGTGCCGAATGATGTTGTATAACAGATTCACTGTGCCAAGTCTAAATGTCTGGAATATCATCTGTGGGAAAATTCAACTTCTTATTTTAGCCACTGTATTTTAATATTTTAGCATTTTTTTGTTAGCAAAGGTAATCTTATCTGGATGAATATATTCAGTTATACATTTTTTTCATATCTTTGGAAATATCTCCGATTACTTTACATATTTAGTTGGATTTTGTTCAATATCTCTCTTTACCGTAACATAAGCTCCTTTAGGGTAGGGAACCTTCTCTGTTATGTTCACCAGACTTTACTGAGAGTTTTCAACAAGGCTTGGGATGTAAGAGGCACGTACACATTTGTGACATTAGCAAATAGAAAATGCAATTGCATTCTGCGTCCATTCATGGTTATAACTCAATAAAATAAGATATTGGCTATTAAAATTTGCATCTGGATAGTAAATCTAGAATATAAATCTTCAATGTAAACTCTGTAAGTTTTATTCCTTCTTTGCAATTGTTCCTCTTGCCATTTAAGCTGATTTAAGGGCTTACTTAAATAAACATTGTTTTAAGAAAAGCCAAGGACAGTCTATAAAATAAGTTAATTAAAAGTACTATTAATGTTTGTAATTCAATGATATAAACATCATTTTTCAAAGTGCAATTTCAATGTGTAAGATCCAGCTTTTGATAAAAGAGAAATGGATTTGCGAGTTCTAAGTGATAAAGGCAATTTTATAATGAGGTTTTGGATTTCAAATGAGGATGAGACAGCTTGGACATAGTAAGCAAAGCCCATGGAAGAGAACATGGACATCAAGAGTCTATACCAGTACACAGTACCCAAATACCAGGGACAATGTCTTTCTCCATTGCGTCCAGATTAAACAGAGCAAAAGAGTGACGGATCTCTGAATAAAAAAGATATTCAACTCCAAAACTGATATAACTGAATTTTGTCTTGAAAAAGTCACACATCGACTTGGCACATTGACATTTTCTTCTGTTAGATGAAATTTTACCCATACATTATATGGAATTCATTATGACACAAATAACATATATGTTTGCACATTTGAGTTGTGAAAGTGAATTTTAAATCTTGTCACATAAGGGAAAAGTGGTTGAGCACAATTCAGTTGCCTGTTTAATGTAGCTCCTGCCTACATTAACAGAAAAAGGAAATGGTAAATGCTATGTTAATAATGTTGCTGTCGTTGACAAAAAAAAATGATTACTATTAATCTAAAGCTAAATATAATCAAATACCAAATATTTTCCTAAATGTTTATATCTATAGACTTATAGTTATCAATCAAACAAAAAATAAACACTAAACCCTTTGTGTTTAAATTATTACAGATGCATAATGTGTAATTAGAAATTTGAAGTTGCTTTTACATCTTTTATTTCCCATTCAATTAATTATCTTTATATTCTATTTTAATATATCTTGTTAAACTAGGAACTCAGCTGACATATTGTACCAGAGTAGACTAAACTTTGATGGAGAGAAGAGATAAAATGGTGAGCAAGTAGATTTGGGGAGTCTCCTCAGACGAACTGATAATTAAATCAGAATTTCACAAAACTATAAGTTCAGTGGATAAAATGGGTGATATAGAAGAAAATAACAGAAGCCAAGAGTCTAAGAAAAGATTCCTATAGAAAGTTGCATCTGAGTTATGGTATGAGGATCAGTACTTGCAATAGGATAAATGGGGTATTTTAGGCAGCAGAAACAATATAATAATAATATCTTTACAATAACCAAAAATGTACAATTGATCAATTGTCCATATTTTCCCAAACTATGCTTCTTTATACATGTACTCAAGGCAGATTGTTTTACTTCTTATGTAGATTGGGCATTTGGCAAAAAATGTATTCAGAAGACAGCTTAGTTATCTCAAGCAGAAAATATTATAACTGAATATAGTCATACGTTTGCATGTGTATATGAAACATATCCAAGAAAAAATGTGCATCGCTTTGAAGCAAACATAATTATATTTTATTATTCTGAACTATTGAATTGTATATGTTTTCTACATGGCATTATTATCAAAGTTATTATTTCTGAGATAGGACTTAGGCATTTTAAAAATATTTATACTTTTCTAGTAGATATATAAATATTAATATAGATATAAACACAAATGTAGACATGACTACATGTAATCACATTTAAAGTCCTTAAGCACAAGTTCATAAACTTTTATCTACAGATTAATAATATATAATCGTGTCTAGTTAAGAGGAGACTTCTTGCTAAATGAGTGAATATTTTAGAAAGCAATATAAATTTATTTATATTCATCTTTCCTATATTTAAATCACTAATAATTAAAACTCAAATTCGTAAGCCAATATTCTTTAGGAAAGACAAAGTTAGACAACACTGCAAATCTACTGATAAACTGATTTATATCTTTTGCAAGATAAAATGCAAGCCTTTGATCATATGCCATCACTTGTGTACTTCCTGTTCATTAAATTCAGTCAACTCACTACCACTACGTGTGTAAATTTGGACTCTGTGATAGTGTTTAATTAAAAATACTCTAGATAAATTAATTATAGAATGGCTTTAAATAGTCAACTTTGTAAATGTTTATTATCTTCTTCCAATTCTAGATACCACAAGTCTTCATAAGAATAAGAACCATGTCAGCCTTGATCATCACAAAACCTCAACAGCTAATAGAATACAAATCATAAAATGAAGAAGTATCGAGTTAATCACTGATAGCCTGTGTACATATTATTTAATGTGTTCTTCAAAGAATGCTCTGATTTAGATAATTAAGAATCATAAACTTTCCTGGTCAGAGTCTTGAAAAATTTATATCCTTAATAACTTGGTTAAATGTATTCATAGGTGTAGGCAAAGCTAAATTTTTCTGAATAATATATTTGGTTACCAAATTTTAACACATTTAATATTGTATTTAATGTTATTTTAACTTTCCTCTCTATCACTAATACCATTACATTCAAATTTTGTTTTTTTCTGATGGAGCAAAGCTAGAGTAGAAATAAAACTGGAATTAGAGAGGGATGTGTATTTTGGTTCCGGCTCTGTCACTACCAGATGTATGATCTTGAAAAATATACAAAAGTATAACATCCTTGTGTTTTAAAGTTTAAGATTCTTTAAGTAAAACCTTGCAGTGTCATGACTCTCTTGAAATGGAACAACCTAAAAATGAATAGATTTGAACATCTCACAAAACAGTAATGCTTTAGGAGCCTTGAAAAAAAGATTTCCAGAGAAGGCTAAGAAAAATAAATGCTATTAAGTGTCTGAGAATAAGAAAAAGCTTTATCTGTCCATGTATGAAAGAGAAGGTCAATTTGAATGTCAAAAGAGTATGTACAGAAAAACAAATACATGTAACTTTCTTGAGGGGGAAAACTTCTTTTTGAATGTCCAGTCATGTATCTTTCTTGGTTTGAAACCAAACTGTAACACATATTTCATAATATTTTTTCTATATTCAACTGTAAATTCTGAAAGTGGTACACTTTTAATTTCTTATCTTCCACTGAACCTAAAAATGGACATGTGAGCAGTTTTGCTCAGTGACATATTAGCAGGTTTTGATTGTTATTCTAAAAAGGTTCTCCTTATAGAAAGACTCAATACAGTTAGCACCACTCTTTTCCTTTGACTCAAGTGTAGAAATAATGACTTAAGTCATTGCAGTAGCAATTCTGAATGCATGAACCTATAATCATGAATTAAAAACTAAGAAAACCATTACCCCATCCTGGTACTGTCAAGTCACTGGACCAACAACCATTAGCTGTCTACCTACAGAATTCTTATTATGTAAGAAAAAATGAACCCTATCTATTAAGGATAACAATTAATTGAGTTTTCTTTTACTTGTAGCTGTACCAATATGCAAACATATATTAAAACATCTTAAATCATGTGCCACTGGTAACATCTTAGATAATATCATTTTAAAACAATGCTAAGTACCATATTTTGAAATGAAATTAAAGAGGTTATCAAAAGAAAAATAAAGAACATGTTAATCTTTCAAATGTTGATACATTTAAAATATCAGAGCAAGGTGTTATAACAAATAATTTTACAAAATGTGTTTCTTAGTCATGTTGAGCTCAGTGTGTTGTTTCTTATTTTAATACTTCTAGCAGCAGTAACAACAACAAGGTGAATGGCATTGCTGAGTGGATATATATGGTTCTACATTGATAGCTCAATAATTTTGAAGATAATGGGCAATGTGAAACTTAGAAAGTAAACTGTTTTATAGTTGAAATTTAATGTTTCTTGTATATTATATGTAATGAACTTTGCAGAAAATGATACTTTTTGGGAAATATTAACTTAATCTGATAGTTTTTGTGTATATGAGATTTGTTACCAAGATTACCTCTGAAGCCATCAAGATTTCTCAGGAAAGACACCTTCATATTTCTTTTTAAGGTCACGTAACTTTCTCTCACCTTTTGATTACTTATTCTCTGGAAATACTTCTAGTTCCTTTCCATTTTTGCTTGCCAATATAATTTCCATGTGTCTAGTATTATTTTATCCCTGCTGGCAGAGAACCTAATATTAGATGTATTTAACTACTCATCCCTCAGGATAGAAATCCATATGATTTTAGTGCTGCACAAATCAGATGTTAATAAACTGAGATTTGAGATGTAAATACATTATTGTAATCTCTGTGGGAATTGTCTGAAAAAATACATATGAAACAAAATAACACAAAAACTATATTATTGTTAGTCCCATATCATTAATACTAGTATGCCAAAACTAAAACAATATAGCTATTTGTATTTTGTAAATGCAATTTCTCACCAGAAATTTAGAGGGCTAATGCCTCTACCTTCTATAAGCTCCCTGATGACTTTTGCCTTTATGTTTGGATAAAATTTATGCTGTGAAATAATTGATACTGACAGCTAATGCCAATCTTCTTTTGCTTTACATTTAAATTCACAATGGCTGTCTTTTTATGTAAATATTTTTAATGCTAAGCATATTCTAGAAATGACAGTTTTGTAACAGATATAATAATGTTATTTCTGTTAGATTACCCATACAGAAATACTTTTTTGTATATTATAGCCATGCAAACTTACTAAAGATACATTTACTGTAAAAGATAAAAATGTAAGATAACTTAAAATCTAATCTTAGGATTTAATAAATTGAAGATAAAACACATAATTTTACTTCTTATTAATTTCTTTTATAAGAGACAAATTATCTCTTGACATTTTTGCCCTGTTTGCATCTGGCAGATTATTTCAGGTTTTGGAGTATAAATATGAGGTTTCTATTTGCTTGCAGACAGAAATATGTTGCTGCACATGGGACAGATATGGATTTACCTGTATAACCAGGGGCACAGAGGCAGTTGTATCCATCAGTCCTGTAGACACAATTTTCTTCATCTAGACAAGGTGAGATTTTACATTTATTTACATCAAGTTCACAGAAGGGCCCATGGTACTCAGGTTCACAATTACAAAAAAATCTGGAGAAAAGTGGAGAAATGAGGAATAGCCATGTAACAATGATAATCATTTATTATATATGATTCATATTTATATTTTAAATTCAAGACATTCAACTTAATTGAAATAAATAATATATGTATTTCATTTTTTTCTTTGAAAAAATATAGCAATTCTCCTTGCAAAATTTTGTTCTGCTCAAATGTTCTTTATGTGTGAAATTTTGAAAAACAATGTGTTGGGTAAATAATTACTGTAACCTGATAAATACTAGTATCAAAATATAGATGAGGTCATGTCCTTTGTAGGGACATGGATGAAGCTGGAAACCATCATTCTCAGCAAACTATCACAAGGACAAAAAACCAAACACCGCATGTTCTCACTCATAGGTGGGAAGTGAACAATGAGAACACATGGACACAGGAAGGGGAACATCACACACCGGGGACTGTTGTGGGGTGGGGGGAGGGGGGAGGGATAGCATTGGGAGAGATACCTAATATTAAATGATGAGTTGATGGGTGCAGCACACCAACATGGCACATGTATACATATGTAACAAATCTGCACGTTGTGCACATGTACCCTGAAACTTAAAGTATAATAATAATAAACAAACAAAAAAAAAGAAATAATTTCCAAAGGAGATATTAAACTGATCGAAACTGTATACTTAGCAAAAATATCTCTTCATAGTTTTTCCTTTTAGAAGTCTAGATAAAGAAGCTTTAGCAACTTTCCATAAAATGTTTTTGAGCTAGATTTCTATTTAGATTTTTTAGGAAACTCTTCCTAATTAACTTCACTCATCATTTTATAACCACAGAAGTCTAACATTCCCCATGCTCCTCCTTTTACTTCTTCAACCTACATTAATTAATTGAGCGCCAGACATTAGTCATGTACCCATATTCAAGTGTAAATTAAACTAGAGCTTGCTTTTGAAAGTCTCAGGAACAGGACAGGAATACAGATATGTAAACATTACAGTAAATACATGTCAATTGAGACAGGTCCTGTTAAAGCATGGCTAGCTGCTAGACAAGAGGTGACAGAAAAGGTCTTACTCAGTATTAATAAAGAAGGAGCAGGATCAGTGTTTTAAAATTCTGAATATGAATGAAAACATGCAGTATTTTTCTTTCTGTGCCTGGCATATTTCATTTACAATAATGTCCTCCAGGATCATGTATGTTGTTACAAATAACAGGACTTCATTCTTTTTCATGGCTGAAGAGTATTTCATTGTTTATGTATACTACATATTTTTTATTCATTCATCTCTTAAGTAAAGTAAGCCAGACAGTAGGGGAGAGGGGATAGGAAAGATTGATTGATGGGTGCAAAATTACATGTAGAAAGGAAGAATAAATTTGGTGTCCTATTGCACAGTACGGTGACTGTAGTAAACAGTAAGGTATTGTATATTCAAAAGAGCTAGAGGAGAAAATTTTGAATGTTTGCACCACAAAGAAATGATGAATGTTTGAGGTGATCTCTATGCTAATTATCCTTATTCGTTCATTACAAACGAATGAACAAATGTGCTGTAATACAATGTATTATGTAGTATAATGATACAATGTATTCATGTATCAAAACAACACAACAAAACAACACATAAATATATCAATTATGTGTAAATGAAAAATAAAATTAATAGAAAAAGAAAGAGTAAGGAATCTTTGTATCAGTTGGACAGAAGGCATTAAAATGTCATGTGCAATGGGATACTGGGTGAAAGAGTAGAGTATTTCCCAAGAGCTCTTCATGTGACTAGGGAATTGACTATAATCACCTTTTTGGAGTAACACTAATCCAAATACTAACTTCTTGAATTTTTGTTCAAATAGTCAAACTGTTTTTCTCCATTGTATTCATTTTGCGAATATCTCCCCATCTAGTGAGAAGTAATGTAATGAATCTGCTAAATGTCTTACTAAAATCAAGATATGTTTGTTAATAATACTGTCTTTGCTACTTTGTGTTCTCACTGAATTAATGATGATCCCAAGGAATCACAGAATAGAGAGAAATTGGACACAGAATTCTCAGAAATAGCAGTGAAAGGTATCTCAAGAAATGATTTGTTTCATACTGACAAATTTAAAAATGTTATATTACTATAAAAACAATGACTTTCATTTCAATTTATGTATTTCTTTCATGTACTTCTGACAGTTCTATTATATTTTTAGAAGTTTCAAAATCTACTTTGTATTTTGAAATATTGAATACTAGAAAATTATTTGGTGATATCTTGCTTTTTCAGTGATTTATGATAATCACCACCAATTGTTTCAATTTTTTTTAAACAGTAGTTTACTACTTAATTTATAGAATTTTCTCTCTCTCTCATTTTGAAAATCAGAAAATCATAACATCCCTTGTCTTTTGCTCCCCAAATTTTGTTTTCGGTGATTTTCATTATCTTAAATATACTTACTTACTTGTTGCATAAGTTAATGGGAAATTTTTGTGAAATGTCTTTTTGTCATGATGAAGATGTGGGTTTTGCTGAGTATTAATTTTTTTTTGTCTGTATAGTTATCTTGAAGATACATGAAAGGATTCAGATTCTGACACCTACCCATAATTCTTGTTTTTTCAATTATGATTTCCTTCTGAATTTTGCCTTTTGAACCCTTTGTTAGTTTTTACTAAATGTTATTGTTGCGGGAAGTCAGGGACCCCAAATGGAGGGACCGACTGAAGCCATGACAGAAGAACGTGGATTGTGAAGATTTCATGGACGTTTACTAGTTCCCCAAATTAATACTTTTATAATTTCTTATGCCTGTCTTTACTGCAATCTCTAAACATAAATTGTGAAGATTTCATGGACACTTATCACTTCCCCAGTCAATACCCTTGTGATTTCCTATGCCCGTCTTTACTTTAATCTTTTAATCCTGTCAGCTGAGGAAGATGTATGTCGCCTCAGGACCTTGTGATAATTGCATTAACTGCACAAATTGTAGAGCATGTGTGTTTAAACAATATGAAATCTGGGCACCTTAATAAAAGAACAGGATAACAGCAACTGTTCAGGGAATAAGAGAGATAACCTTAAACTCTGACCGCCGGTGAGCTGGGTGGAACGGAGCCATATTTCTCTTCTTTCAAAAGCAACTGGGAGAAATATCACTGAATTCTTTTTCTCAGCAAGGAACATCCCTGGGAAAGAGAATATGCACCTGGAGGTATAGGCCTATAAATGCCCCCCCCCCCCAAGGTGTGCCCATCTCTTATGGTTGAGACTGCAGGGGTAAAATAGACCCCAGTCTCCCATAGCGCTCCCAGGCTTATTAGGAAGAGGAAATTCCTGCCTGATAAATTTTGGTCAGACCAGTTGCTCTCAAAACCCTGTCTCCTGATAAGATGTTATCAATGACAATGGTGCCCAAAACTTCATTAGCAATTTTAATTTCGTCCTGGTCCTGTGATCTCGCCCTGCCTCCATTTGCCTTGTGATATTCTATTACCTTGTAAAGTACTTGATGTCTGTAACCCACACCTATTCGCACACTTCCTCCCCTTTGAAAATCCCTAATAAAAACTTGCTGGTTTTTGCGGCTTGTGAGGCATCACGGAACCTACAGACATGTGATGTCTCCCCTGGACGCCCAGCTTTAAAATTTCCCTCTTTTGTACGCTGTCCCTTTATTTCTCAAGCCAGCTGACGCTTAAGGAAAATAGAAAAGAACCTACGTGAATATCAGGGCAGGTTCCCCGATATGTTATATTCATTTTTTTGCTTCCATGCCCATCCTTCAAATGTATTTACTCTAATTTAAGATGAACTTCTCAAAAAGTTCTGCTTTTTTGTTTGCTCTTTAACATTTATCATGTAACTTATTTTATGAATCTCAAATATGTACCTTACGCTTCTGATTTTGAAAGTGATATCACACAGTAAATAAACATACATGTATTATCTCAAGACTTATGGAAGTTTATTTTTCTAAAGTTTTTGGCATACAGACAACTATGTGAAGAATTGTTTTTAATAATATGAATCATAATGATCCTTTCTTCTAAGAATGCTTTGCTTCTACTTCAATAACCTCTCTTTCCTTTTTGCTTTCAATCAAGACCATTATTTTTTCTTACTTTCTACACTACTCCTGAAATCTGAACTTTTCAACATTGCAAAAATATGCTTTACTTTTACATAAATTCCAAACATTATTAAATTTCAAGAATCTGTTAAACCACAGATGCCTGTTCAACTGGAATGTTGGGGGTCCCTGCTTTGTTAATAATGATGCAAAAAGGCCCTGGGATTCTAGAGTCCATTTGGACATTTTCTGAATGGCATCTAAAATTTCATAGAGATTAAAAAAAAAAAAATCATCGACATTAACAGCAGCCCTGGTGAAACAGTTTACAGAAAATATTCAACTTATATTTCTTACTTTCCACCACACTAAACAATATGAGGGCAAATTTGTGCGAAAATAACATTTTACTCTACAACAGAGCAACTACCTTTAATCCTTGTCTCTGCTTTCCCAGAAAAATTTAAATGTTTTTATTTTCTCTTCCTCCTTTCCTCCCTCCACCTGCCCTGCCCTGCTCTCTTCCCGCTCCCTGTGTCTAATAGGAAGGGCAAGCACAATGCTGAGCACTTGGGACGTTTTTACTTTGCACTTAACGTTGGCCCTTCAAAACGTTAAAAAAATAAAAGTGCCTAGGGTATGTCTGAAAAGATCCTCATCAAATTTTTCCCCTCCTGGCCTCTGGCTATAGTGTGCAATTCTTTCAGCTTTGGTATTTTCCTTTCGCTATTACCTGCTGAGGGTCCCTTTATGCTAACCACCTCTAATAAGGCTAGAGAAAAATTAAATGTAAACCTGATTTTTATTAATGTCCTAAGTGATCCAGTCAAATGTACAGTCAGTACTGCATTTTATATTAAAGGTCCCTAAAGTATACCTTCCTTTGATAAAACTCAATATTCATAGCTTTTAAAATATACATATATAATAATATCTTCTATCTTGAGAGAACAATTAAGACCATGAAATATGTATTTTTGATGAAATAAAAATTTCTCATTTAAATAAAAAGCTTTTACTTCAAAAGTTTTAGAATTAAACTTAAATATATTGTCAAAGTATTGAAATAATTCATATTTTTAATTTGACATTGCCCTAAAATTTTTCAAATAGGTGTTCAAGATACTTTTTCAATCACTAAGATGCATTTTAACAGTGACTTCTGAAGAAAATTCAACATATTAAAATAGAGATAAGGAAGAGTAACTATAATTTGCATAAAATGATATCTCCAAACTATAAAAAGATGGAAAAATACAAGATAATCACATGAATTTATAGCCCCCAAATTAGCCACGATTACATTTCATTTACATTATTCTTATATACTTTTTCTTGTATTCCAGATGAGAGAGGAATTAATAAGTAGATGTATTATTTGTATGCTTCTGAAGTTATTTTAAAATATAATTATTAAATAGATTGAATAGTATTACAAAATCCAAACATAACACAGAATGTTTTAATGAGAGTTTTGATTTTAAAATGTGTTTGCAATAAAATTAAATCATACTTGTTTCAGTAGATATTTTTTAAAAGCTTACATTCAAAATAAGAAAATGAAACCACTGGTGAAACTTTCTGATAAGGACTTTTAAGCCTATGTTAAAGTAATTCAAATTTTGAAAGAATTTATAATGTATTTTAAAGCATTTCTACTTTTTTCTTGTGATATTATAACTGCATTCATGAACCACACTTCTTTACAATGAATGACAATTTTTACTTAGAATATGAATAATCTATTTTATATTTGCAACATGTCTTTATTATGTTATATATAAATATATGTCTACATTATTTATCATACTCACAACATGTCTTTATATGTTTTTATTATAATTGCATGTGGGTGTGAATCTGATTTGAAACAGTGATGTTATCGTAAATTCTCTAGTAGAATAAACATCATTCGGATTGATGACTGTTTCTAGGCAAACAATTACAGAAGAGTAAACAGATTTTTGTCTTTTGGTTAAATGCATATTAACCAATCACTTTTAAATTTGTAACAGTGAAGAATTGCTAAACCCGTGAACATCACAAACTGAATGGTCACAATATGCTTGTTGGTAATGATCTCGCTATGATAATCACATCAGCCAGGCACTTGGAACATTTTCTTCTATTTTTTCTTTAAATGCACTAGCCACTGTTATTGTAATTGTTCTTGCAAATTCTATTTAGTTGTAAATTTTCAGTAGATGGATACTATTGTGAGTGACCTAAATGAACTAGTAGCAATGACTTGAAAAGACATTAGTTGCATGGGATAACATATGCTATCAAGTGTCAGAAAAATGTAAATTCCAGTGTTCACTTTTGCAGTGGATTTGTATATTAATTGGGGCTGTCATTCATGTGCCATTATATCTCAGCAAATTCATCTTTAAATCATGTTACTAGAGGTAAGTCTTAATTGTTGCAGGCCACAGTTTCAATAACCATAAGAGAGAATAGAATAGATTAAAAACATGAATCTAACCATGAGGCATGTATGTAGTAACTACTGTTTTTAATACGTTTTTTGTTTATGTGTCTACAGTTTAATTTACTTTGAAGTAACTATAAAATTATTGCTTTTAAATGAGTTGGTAGATTACTTGAAATATTTTTAGTGAGTACTTTATCAATAGGTTAAGTTTTTCAAAAAAATAAAAATTACTTTAAGAAGAGATAAGACAATCAAATGTGACTACTTCATTTTCAGCTGCTAATTGATTTTTAATCTGTGAAAGATTTTAATTCATTGAAAATGGCTTTTATTATAATAATTTACACCAGGTAATTTTCTAAGAATAGAATAATCAACACCTGTATGCCCATCACCCATATTTAACTCATCTTAGTATTGTTTCATGTTGCTGAAATATTTTTAAGGAAAACACACAAAACATATTTGATCTGTCATATATATATATGAGATGTCATAAATATGTATGCACACACATATATGTACACACATTTCATACACATATATGTACACATATTTACACATATATGTACACACATTTCATACACATATATATGTATGAAACTCCTATGCATGCATTCAATTAATTATCCTCCATTCCTCTCTACCAGGAGAAAATTACTACTCTTAAGATGCTATGTATTTTTCAAAATATGTTTTAATACTTCACTAAATATGAGTTACATATCACATTATTCTGAGACTTATTTTTTCAGTCAATCATACATTTTAATAAATATTTAAGTGATATACTTTTATATAATTTATTCACAGTAAGTAATGTATAGATGCTTATGATTAAGTTGCATTGCATTTGTTTTGTTTTCTAATGTTTACCAATATAAAGATATTGGAAAGGCATCACCTTGTTCATATATCCTTGCTGACAGTGCTGGATGTTGCCATGGAATTGGGTTTCGTGATGTTAATTACAATAGATCTAAGAATGCATAGACTATTGGATATGCTTGACAATTAGATGCAAAATGAGCAAATAAACATATAAATCAGAGAAACAGAGTGGACATCAGTGGACTGATTCACAGATATCTATGGCAGAGGCTAACTGATGACGGGGTTTTAGAAATGAAATATATAAACAGTCTACTTACGGTGCTGCCTCATGTATATAGAATGAAATGTATAGTTCTGGAGGACAGAGACATAATTCAGTTTGGCTTTGTAGGGATTCTCTGCCTCTTTCACAATTCCAAAACCTAAGTTATGTCACAGACTCAGTCACTCGAAGGTCAGGTTTTGCCTCCTTAAGAGGAATCTTTAATAGAGTCACAGGTATTTTGTGTATCTTTTTGAAGACTTCCTCAGAGGTATCTGAGGCTATTTACCAGTATGACTGTTCTATGGTGAAAGAAAGATATTCAGACATTTTAGGAGTTGCTGAATACTGGTTCTGAAAGTATACTTATCTCTGCAATGCTACTGATCCACCAGTAGAAATATAAGATTATTGAGGTCAGTTCAGGTGAGGCCACAAATACATCTTCTCTTTGATTTTGTTTTTTTTTACCCACAATTCTTGAATATACAGTGTAGTTGATATATTTAGTAATAGGACAATTTTTACATTGGGGTAAGAGCTATTATGGAGGAAAATCCAATTGGAAGATCTTGTCATGCCCCTTTAGACCAATGGAGATTTTAAAGTGACAGCAATTCTCTATTCCTGTGGTACTTGTAGTGATTGGTGTCCCCTTGAAAGGACTGAAAGTTGCAGGGGTGGTGATTCCAAACATCCCTACTTACCTCACCAGATTGGACAATGCAAAAGCTAGAAAGGGCACAGAAAATAAGATGAATGATAGAATATTGTTGGAAAATTAAACAGGATCTGATGCAAATTTCACCAATTCTAAAGGTTGGATCTCTATGAAGATAGATAAACAGAGCTCCTGGTACCTGAGTCCAGCTATGACATAGAAAATTAATTATTTTGTGTTCTAATTAGTGAAGCTCCACTTGAATTTGTCAGAATGTCTTTTTAAAGATATTTTGAAAGACCTAAATAAATAGATATCAATTTTTCTTAAATTGGCCTACCCATTCAATGAAATTCCAATCAAAATTGCTTGTTTGAATGTATATTTATATAGAATAAAGTTGATTTTAACAGAAGAAATTGCCAAAATATCTAAAGCTGCCTGAAGATTAAATAGCCCTACTAGTATTGAGATATTTCAAAGGGAAGTAATTAAGATGTATGACACTAGCACATGGATGAGTAACTGAACTAAAGCAACAGAACAGCAATAGAGAAATAGACATATCCATATGTGGAAACGTGATCTGCAACCAAGAAGGCACTACAGATCAGTGAGTGAAAGATGAACTTAATATGTAGCAGACATGGCTTATTTATATAAAAAAATAAGAATCTGAGTTTATTTTTTAAGTGTGCAAAGAATGAGATAAGAATACTTTACACCCATACTCATACTTATACATACAATATACCTGATGCATCTACATATAAAGAACATAATCTTAATTATTTTAAAAGGAAATATAGGGAAAAAATCCTTTCATCCTAGTGTAAAGAAAAGTTAAATAAGATGAAACTTGCAAACCATATACTAAATAATAAATTAATTCAAGTATATTAAAATTAAGTTTTAGTACATATAACTTATAAAGGTGAAGTGTCTATTTCAATCAGAACTTATATTCAATAAATACAACTAACAAAGATATTTTAAAAATCATATATAAGGATTCTTACAAAGCCATAAGAAGAAAAAACATTAAAGAGCAGATGCTGACTCAGCAAGATGGCAGAATAGGAATAGCTCAGGTCTGCAGCTCCCAGAGAGACGAACGCAGAAGGCAGGTGATTTCTGCATTTCCAACTGAGGTACCCAGTTCATCTCCCTGGTACTGGTTAGACAGTGGGTACAGCCCACGGAGGGCAAGCAGATGCAGGGTGGGGCACTGCCTCACCTGGGAAGTGCAAGGGGTCAGGGGCCTCCCTCCCCTAACCAAGGGAAGCCCAGAGGGACCTTGCTGTGAGGGATGGTGCTATCTGGCACAGATACTATGCTTTTCTCATGGTCATTGAAACCCACAGACCAGGAGTTTCCCTCAGGTGCCTACACCACAAGGGCACTGGGTTTCAAGCAAAAAACTGGGTGGCCGTTTGGGCAGACATTGAGCTAGCTGCAGGAGTTGTTGTTTTTTTTTTTTTTTTTTCGTATCCCAGTGGCACCTGAAACACCAGCAAGAGAGAACCCTTCACTCCGATGGAAAGGGGTCTGAAGCCAGGGAGCCAAGTGGTCTTGCTCAGCAGATCCCACCCCCACAGAGCCCAGCAACCTAAGATCCACTGGCTTGAAATTCTCACTGCCACCACAACAGTCTGAAGTCCACCTGGGATGCTGGAGTTTAGTTGAGGGAGGGGCGTCTGCCATTATTGAGGTTTGAGTAGGGAGTTTTCCCCTCACAGTGTGAACAAAGCCGCCAGGAAGTTCAGACTGGTGGAGGGGGGGGCCACCACAGTGCCTCAAAGCTGCCGTAGACAGACCGCCTCTCTAGATACCTCCTCTCTGGGCAGGGCATCTCTGAAAGAAAGGCAGCAGCCCCACTCAGGGGCTTATAGATAAAACTCCCATCTCCCTGGGACAGAGCACCTGAGGGAAGGGGCGGCTGTTGGCACAGCTTGAGCAGACTTAAACATTCCTGCTTGCCAGCTCTGAAGAGAGCAGTGGATCACCCAGTACAGTGCTCAAGCTCTGCTAAGGGACAGACTGCCTCAAGTGGGTCCAGGGCTCCCATATCTCCTGACTGGGAGACAACTCCCAGCAGCGGTCGACAGACACCTCATACAGGAGAGCTCTGGTTGGCCTCTGGCAGGTGCTTCTCTGGGATGAAGTTCCAGAGGAAGGAGCAGGCAACAATATTTGCCTTTCTGCAGCCTCCACTGGTGATACCCAGGCAAACAGGGTCCGCAGTGGACCTCCAGCAAACTCCAGCAGACCTGCAGAAGAGGGCCTGACTGTTAGAAGGATATCTAACAGACAGAAAGCAATAGCATCAACATCAACAGAAAAGACGAACACGTGAAAACTCCCTCCGAAGGTTACCAACAGCAAAGACCAAAGGTAGACAAATCCACAAAGATGAGGAAAAATCAGTGCAAAAAGGCTGAAAATTTTAAAAACCAGAATGCCTCTTCTTCTCCAAAGGATGAAAATTTCTCACCAGCAAGGGAACAAAACTGGATGGAGAATGAGTTTGACGAATTGACAAAAGTAGGCTTTAGAAGGTGGGTAATAACAAACTCCTCTGAGCGAAAAAAGCATGTTCTAACCCAATGCAAGGAAGCTAAGAACCTTGATAAAATGTTAGAGGAATTGCTAACTAGAATAACCAGTTTAGAGAAGAACATAAATGACCTGATGGAGCTGAAAGCCACAGCACAAGAACTTTGTGAAGCACACACAAGTATCAATAGCTGAATAGATTAAGTGGAAGAAAGGATATCAGAGATTGAAGATCAACTTAGTGAAATAAAGCAAGAAGACAAGATTAGAGAAAAAAGAATGAAAAGGAACAAACAAAGTCTCCAAGAAATATGGGACTATGTGAAAAGACTAAACCTACATTTGATTGGTGTACCTGAAAGTGACAGGGAGAATGGAACCAAATTGGAAAACACACTTCAGGATATCATCTAGGAGAACTTCCCCACCTAGCAAGTCAGGCCAACATTCAAATTCAGGAAATACAGAGAACACCACAAAGATACTCCTCGAGAAAAGCAACCCCAAGGCACATAATCGTCATGTTCACCAAGGCTGAAATGAAGGAAAAAATGTTAAGGGCAGCCAGAGAGAAAGGTTGGGTTATCTACAAAGGGAGCCCATCAGACTAACAGCGGATCTTTCTGCAGAAAACCCACAAGCCAGAAGACAGTGTGGACCAATATTCACATTCTTAAAGAAAAGAATTTTCAACCCAGAATTTCATATCCAGCCAAACTGAGATTCACAAGTGAAGGAGAAATAAAATCCATTACAGCCAAGAAAATGCTGGGGGATTTTGTCACCACCAAGCCTGCCTTACAACGGCTCCTGAAGGAGGCATTAAACATGAAAGGAAAAATGGGTACCAGCCTCTGCCAAAACAAGCCAAAATGTAAAGACCATTGACACTACGAAGAAACTGCATCAACTAATGGGCAAAATAACCAGCTAGCATCATAATGACAGGATCAAATTAAACACATAACAAAATTAACTTTAAATGTAAATGGGCTAAATGCCCCAGTTAAAAGGCACAGACTGGCAAATTGTATAAAGAGTCAAGAACCATCAGTGTGCTGTATTCAGGAGATGCATCTCGTATGCAAAGACACATATAAGCTCAAAATAAAGGGATGGAAGAATATTTACCAACAAATGGAAATCAAAAATAAAAGAAATCAGGTGTTACAATCCTAGTCTCTGACAAAACAGACATTAACCAACAAAAATCAAAAAGACAAAGAAGGGCATTACATAACGGTAAAGGGATCAAGGCAACAAGAAGAGCTAACTATCCCAAATATATATGCATACAATACAGGAGCACCCAGATTAATAAAGCAAGTACTTAGAGATCTACAAAGAGACTTAGACTCCAACACAATAATAGTGAGAGACTTTAACACCCCACTGTCAATATTAGACAGATCGATGAGACAGAAAATTAACAAGGACATTCAGGACTTGAACGCAACTCTGGACCAAGTGGACCTAATAGACATCTACAGAACTCTCGACCCCAAATCAACAGAATAAACATTCTTCTTAGCACCACATAGCACTTATTCTAAAATCGACCACATAATTGAAAGTAAAACACTCCTCAGCAAATGCAAAAGAATGGAAATCATAACAGTCTCTCAGACCACAGTGCAACAAACTAGAACTCAGGATTAAGAAACTCACTCAAAACGACACAACTACATGGAAACTGAATGACCTCCTCCTGAATGACTACTGGGTAAATAACAAAATCAGGCAAGAGAAAGAAATAAAGGGTATTCAAATAGGAAGAGAGAAAGTCAGGTTATCTCTGTTTGCAAATGACAGGATTGTATATTTAGAAAACCTCATCGTCTCAGCCCAAAAACTCCTTAAGCTGATGAGCAACTTCAGCAAAATCTCAGGATACTAAATCCATGTGCAAAAGTCACAAGCATTCCTATTATAATAGACATTAATAGACAAACATTAATAGACAGAGAACCAAATCATGAGTAAACTCTCATTCATAATTGCTAAAAAGAGAATAAAATACCTAGGAATACAACTTACAAGTGATTGATGAACCTCTTCAAGGGGAACTACAAATCTCTGCTCAAGGAAATAAGAAAGGACACAAAAAAATGAAAAAAATTCCACGCTCATGGATAGGAAGAATCAATATTGTGAAAATGGCCACACCGCCCAAAGTAATTTACAGATTCAGTGCTATTCCCATCAAGCTACCATTGACTCTCTTCACATTATTAGAAAAAAAAACTACTTTAAATTTCGTATGGAACCAAAAAAGAGCCCATATACCCAAGACAATCCTAAGCAAAGGATCAAAGCTGGAGGCACAATGCTACCTGACTTCAAACTATACTATAAGGATACAGTAACCAAAACAGCATGGTGCTGGTACCGAAACAGATATATAGACCAATGGAACAGAACAGAAGCCTCAGAAATAACATCACACATCTACAACCATCTGATCTTTGACAAAGCTGACAAAAACAAGCAATGGGGAAAGGATTCCCTATTTAATAAATAGTGTTGGGAAAACTGGTTAGCCATATGCAGAACTCTGAAAATGGACCCCTTCCTTACACATTATACAAAAATTAACTCAAGATGGATTAAAGATTAAAACGTAAGATCTAAACTCATAAAAACTCTAGAAGAAAACCTAGGCAATATCATTCAGGACATAGGCAGGGGCAAAGACTTCATGACTAAAACACCAAAAGCAATGGCAACAAAAGCCAAAATTGGCAAATGGGATCGAATTAAACTAAAGAGCTTCTGCACAGCAAAAGAAACTATCATCAGAGTGAGCAGGCAACCTGCAGAATGGGAGAAAATTTTGCAATATATCCATCTGGGAAATGGCTAATATACAGAATCCACAAGGAACTTAAACAAATTTACAAGAAAAAAACAAACAATCCCATCAAAAAGTGGGCAAAGGATATGAACACACACTTTTCAAAAGAAGACATTTATGCAGGCAACAAATATATGAAAAAAAGCTCATCATCACTGGTCATTAGAGAAATACAAATCAAAACCACAATGAGATGCCATCTCATGCCAGTTAGAATGGCGATCATTAAAAAGTCAGGAAACAACAGATGCTAGAGAGATGCGGAGAAAATGTGGAGAAATAGGAATGCTTTTACACTGTTGGTGGGAGTGTAAATTAGTTCAACCATTGTGGAAGACAGTGTGGTGATTCCTCAAGGATCTAGAACTAGAAATACCATTTGAGCCAGTAATATAATTACTGGGCATATACCCAAAGGATTATAAATCATTCTACTATAAAGACACATGCACACGCATGTTTATTGCAGCACTATTAACAATAGCTAAGACTTGGAACCAACCAAAATGCCCATCAATGTTATACTGGAAAAAAAAAATGTGACACATATACACCATGAAATACTATGAGCTATAAAAAAGAATGAGTTCCTGTTCTTTGCAGGGACATGGATGAAGCTGGAAACCATCATTCTTTGCAAACTAACACAAGAACAGAAAACCAACCACTGCATGTTCTCTCTTATAAGTGGGAGTTGCCCAATGAGAACACATGGACACAGGGAGGGGAACATCACATACTGGGGCCTGTCAGGGGTTGGGGGGCAAGGGGAGGGATAGCATTAGGAGAAATACCTATGTAGTTGAGTATATATATATATATATATATAGGCAGATGCCATAATTAGGCATTTCTAAAAAGGCAAAATTAATCATCTCAAAATGTACATAAAATTGTTAAACTTCATATTATTATAAGAATGCAGGGAGACTACAATAAGATATAACTTTACACACAGCCTAAAATGGAACATTCTGAAAATGCCAATAAAAACATTTATTCCCTGCTAATAATACAAAAATTGTATTTTTCAAAAGAAATGAGAAAAATATAAATGTGATTTAGCAAATGTGACCATGTTTACCCAATGGTTCAACAATTCTACTTCTATGTATGTAACCTCGGACATACTAGTACTTGTGTATTTAGAGAAATATTTGAAAACTTTAATATCATTGTAGGTAAGACAAAAGAAGCAAATAGTCCAAATATCTATAACCAGTAGAATGATAAATGTTGGTATATATTTAATATTAAATATTGTATAAAAGTTAAAAATGAGCAACAGATACATGCATCAACAGGAATTACAAAATATTATGTTCAACAACAATTTCGGGAGACTCTACACAATATTGTTTTGCTTATAATAACATGGAAACTAAGGAGCATTTTGCTCAGGCACACATACAAATAGCACTATAAACTAACAGTAAGATTGGTAAATAAAAATTTGAGATTTTTGACATAAGTGATTGGATGGGACAAATGAGGATGTGCTGGTACAAGCACAAATGTATCAGTGGTGATCAGCTGCCTTAGTTACATAATGAGCACATGTGTGCTCACTTTCTTGTTGAATTACACACATCAAATAATTAATTTAATAAAAAGTAGCTTCTCACCTGTTTGTCAGATCCACACATGTTCCATTATTTTTGCAAGGTTCAGAGGAACATTCATTAATTTCAATTTCACACAGAGATCCAGAAAACCCAGGTCTGCAAATACACCTTTTAAACAAAAAATTTAGTAACTCCATTAGTATATATGTATAAAATCAATGCTTCAACTAATTGTAGCATGGCAAGTTTTTAATAATTATAATTGTTGCTTAATTCACCAATTAAAATTCTATACCTGTATACATCTAGACACATAAACATGTATCTAGATACTTTTTAAGTTTTCTGTACCTGAAATTGTTGACCATATCTTCACAGTCACCATAATCCTGGCAGGAAAGGAAGAGGCAGTCTTTCACATCAATTTCACAGTTTTTACCTTCAAATTCTGCAAAGAGTATGAGATGAGTATGGATGAGCAATCCTTGTTATAGAGTAAAAAAATCAGAATCAGTGGTAGTCTAAAGAATACACTCATAATGGAGGTTAAAAAAGGAAAAAGAAAATAATTACTCTCAAGCTTCTCATAAAACTCCATTTCACATAATGTGTGCATAAAAACATGCCAGTTTCTAGATTAATGAGTTTAAATGAAATATTCAAGGGAGGAATACTCCACTAAATCCCCTGAGAAGGTAGAGATGTTGCTAATGTTGCTGTTGTTTTAAGGTATTTAAATGTTTGAACAAGAAGAATTGAAATGATCTGGAAAGCAAATGAATTAATGTGATGACCAATCTTAAAGTAAAATTGAGCTTCAATGATCAAATTTATTCAAGGCAGTTAGCAGATGAAGCAAATTATTTAATTGCTTTTTATATCCAAGTGATTCAAAGAAAACAAATTATTTTGATTCACAGCTACATAATCAGTCATCCATTTAAACACATGCCAGTTATATTAAAAAAAATGAACATGAAAGAAAATTATACAGGCTGATAAACAAGACAGTTGCAATTATTTCAACACATTTGTGTCAGAAAAAACCTGCATGATATCACTTTTTAAAATACAATGAAATATATTAATATTTATAATAAACAGTTAAACAATTCTATGGTTATATATTAACTAAGTATAACAAAATATATGTGTAAAACCATTTTTCTTGTTAATATTTTTTCTGTACTAGTTCAAACATGTAAGAAACAAGATTTCCCTTTATTTTGCTTTTTCAGTGATATTACCAAGCACTAAATAAGTGCAGCCACATTACACAATATTCTAAATGTCAGTATGCAATCAGGCTAATTTAGTTTGAGGAACAAAGAGTCATTCAGGTTACTTTAAGAAAACTGTATTCATTGTTTGCATACACATAGACTGGAATTGGAACTAAGAAGCATTTAAAGGGAAGCATAGTCTAGCTACCCAGGAATAGCTGTCTTCCTTTTACAGTACATGTCCTTTATCCTTCTCATATCACTTTTTCTTCTCTTTCTATCACAAATATCTCAGCATGTTCAGTTTCAAATCACTTGTAATGTTGGCATGCGAGTGATATAGCACAGCTTTCTTGGTCTCTATGTCTATATTATGACATTTCAGCTTCAGCACCTACTGTTCAATGAAAAATTCCCTCGGTATTTTCTCACTCAGATTCCCACGATAGAACACGGAATTGACTGACCTATTTCATCTTTTCATATCATACCATGCCACAGTCAATGCCATTCTCTGTGGTGTCTACCATTGGATCAAACTGCAAACCTGCCTCCCGTTGCAATTTAACAGGGAGCTTGGTGTTACACCTTATAAAATCTGGCTGCCTCTTCGGTAGTATATAATATGGAAAACTAAAAGTTACTTAATCCAAAAGAAAACAGAAAAAGAAACAAAGTACAGATACAACAAATAGAAAACAAATAGCTAGAAGGTGTATTTACAGCCACACATATCAAAAGTTATATTAAATATGATTTTTAAAAACGCCAATTTAAAGGTAGAGGCAGACTAAATAACAGAAGAAACTACAAGATATCTAAAAGAAATTTATTTAAAACATAACAACAATGATAGGTTAACATTTAAAAGATGGAATGATCACACACTATGAAACACTAATTGTAAGTAAGCTGCCATACTTATGGGGCTAGCAGACCAGGTAGTCTTCAGGACAAGCAATATTTTTAATTTGCCTTATTTTTCTTACTCAATTCTCAGAGCCTGCAAATGAATCTCTGAAGTTACATTTTTGTAATTCGTTCATACGCTAGGTGTTGTATCCTCAGCTTTAGGAACAAAATTAAAATGAATTACTTCCAAGTTATTATGGCTCTCCTCATTTTAGGTGAGCAAGTTGTAATTGTTCCAACATGCTTCATCATTCTTCAATCGCCATTGCTGTTTTCTATATTTAGGTTGTAAATGCCATAGTACAGATATAAACAACTTAGATTCTATTTTCAAAAGATGTTTAATTCTTTAAGTATTTGATTGAGGTTAGATTTTTCACAAGTTAAAAATTGAGAAAGTTGAGTGTATTTCACCATTTCTACTTTAAGTCTGGTTAGTTTTCTCTGGGAGGCAGGGCATTTTGACACTAAAATGATTCTTAGAAATGTTCTTTTGAGGCAGTGGAACTCAGGGGCACTGACTGGCTATAAAGAAGCACCAGTGAGCCTCCATGATTTCAGCTGTGCTGATGAATCAGAACACTCAGGGCCCAGGACCTTGGGTAGCTCACAGGATAACCTTGTTTCCTGTGATTTTGTCATATTTATTAAGTTTGACATTTCTGAGATGGAGTTTTGTTACCAGCTAGCAACATATGTCAATGGGTTGAGGAAATGAGATTGCCGAAATGCAGCAGACATTGGGAGAAAACATAACATGTGGATTGCATTCAATATAAAGCAAAGCTTTGCTGAGATAGCCTATGTTTTGGGAATTTTAAGAGCGAAGTATGCATACAGTCACGTGCTGCATAACAACATTTTGGTCAATGACAGACCACATTTCTAATAACAATGATCTATAAATATTATAATGGACCTATAAATGCAGTAGGCTATCTCATCTAGGTTTGTGTTAGGGCACTCTATGTTGTTCACACAACAAAATTGCCTAGTGATATATTTCTTAGGATATATCCCCATTTTTAAGCAATACATGACTGTATACTTAATCCCAAACTACATATTCTATAATCCTTAATGTTAGAAGTTGATATTCATTTCTGTGAAAGGTACTTGTTTTGAATATATGAAGTTACAGGTAAGAAACTGCCCAAACAGAAAGTTTGTTATTACTAATTTTATGCTGTTCCCCTGTTCTTTATTCCTACTCAGAACTATTCGGTTGGCCGTACTTTGTTAACTGCAGGGAGGATCTTTACATGCATAAAAGTGAAGCTTCTTAAATGGATACTGTCTTGATCCTTTTCTTACACTGTCTCGTCTGTGTATGGCTATAACAAATACACACGAATGGTCAGTAAATGATATTTTTATACTTCTGCACTCGTTCCTCCAAAATACACAAAATTGATTTTTAAAACCTACTGCTCAAATGTAAGATCTGCATCAGTCTGGATTGTAGGTATTATTTTTTAAAATCACTTAGTATTTTCTCTTTTCTAACAAATTCAGCCTTTTTGCACTTTATTGCTCTAGAAGGTAATGTATGGAACAGAGTACAATAATGAAATTTTCATAAAAATCATTTTACATAGCATTTTATCATTCAGGACTATATTTTAACAATCTCCACTTCATATTTGGTATTAGTTGGAATAATTTGAAATGAATGTAAATAGGGAAAAAAACTAGTGTATACCATAGCATGAATTCACACAAGGTAGTTAAAAATCATATATTTTTAAATAAAAACTCAAACACTTAAAAATGTTTTTCTTTCAAAAGTATTAAATGTATTATTTCTATTTATTCTTAATTAAATAATCTAATTTCTCTGGATTTAAAAGCTTGATAAAAAGAAAACAAAAAAACACCTCAGAAGTTTTTCTTAGCAAGTCAGATTTTTTAAAAAAATATTATTTTATTTAAAAATATTTGTATTCAAATATTAACATTTTCTAAAATAATTAACCAATATAAGAAATTCTTTAAATTTAACTTTAAAAACTATGAAATATGAATATACAGAATTAATATTTCCAATAGTCTCTAATAAGATTTTTAACATCTATTTTTAAAGTGAACTTAAAAAAAAGAAGAGCTAATATTTTAGAAAGTAATAAATATTTAACATGTTTTATGTTTAATTATGTATGTATTTTCTTTAAGGAATTTTCTAAATTCAAATTTCTACAGCTATTAACCTTAACAGGTATGTGCTACAACATGGGTACATGTTTTTAATTGTCAACAGGAGTAATTTCTAATTTATACAAACTATTTTGTCAAATGACACATTTATTTGGTGTTTGTACTTGTATACCTTAGGTAATGTGGAATTAACATAATGATAGTATATATACTGGAGTAATAGACACATTTAAATGCAACTACTTGTCTCCCATGATACTGCAATTCCATCAAGCGTAGGATCCCAATTGTAAATCAATAGCACATGTAAATGATCTGATTCTGCTCTCACTGCAGCTCCTTGTGAGGCATCTTTGCCACATTTTAATCCTGTCATTTAAAGAAACTTCTGTTCCTTTCACCTTGAAGACATACAAAGTAGCTATTTTAGAAACTAAGCTCTTTACATTAAATTAAGAAGTATTTGATAGGGTAATTTTTTGCCTATAAACTGAGAAAGTGGAGTAATTCAAAGTAGAAAGATAAAGAACCATTCATAAAAAGAACATTAGAAAAGAAATTATTTAATTCTTGACATGTATTTCTAGGCTAGACACACACATGGTAACATAATAATTCTACTCTATGCTACAAACACACACATTCTCATGCATTTTATTTGAAGTCGTCTTTACCTTCTTAATCTTCATGTGGTTTTGTGGTATTTATTATTATTATTTTTTATTATTAGAGACAAGGTCCTGCTCTGTTGCCTAAGCTGAAATGCAGTGGTGTGATCATAGCTCACTGTAACCTTAAACTCCTTTGCTCTAGTGATCCCTCCTGCTTTAGCCTCCTGAACAGTTAGGACTGCAGGCATGAACCACCACGCACTGCTAATTTTTTTTAAATTTTTTTGTAGAGATATTATGTTGACCAAGCTGGTCTGGAGCTATTGGCCTCAAGCAATCCTCCTGCCTTAGTCTCCCAAAGTGCTGTGATTACAAGTGTGAGCTATTGTGCCTGGCCCTCAAGTGATATATTTTATATTTGATTTCTACCAGCTTGAAGTTGAAACCAGTTTATTCAACCTTTCCCACTTAATTAACTCTTTGCCTTCACTATATGTTTTAGCCATTACTCTAATGGCCATAAACATATGAATAAAAACATGAACTTAGTTAAGAAGTGAGATATATTGGTAACCCAGCTGAGAGGGATACCAGACAGTTCACAAAATTGAAGAAAGAACTGTAAGTTCTGCCAGGATTCCTTCCCCAAACACTTCTATCCTACTATATACAGATCATCTCCACATGAAGAGAACATGGTAGTTGACTGTACTGATTGAAAACATCTGGCAGAAAGAGAAGGCCTCTTCTCTCAGCATCAACTCTAAAGAAGGGGTCTGAATGCCAATATTCCACTCACATGCATGCCCAGACATAGGTAAATCATAGTTACCATGGGGATGGAATTTACTATGTGTCTTAGCTTGGGTTGTTCCAAAAATAAAATAAAAAAAAAAGTCTGAGATAATGATTTTCTCACAAGTAGTTTATTTGAGAGGTGATCCCAGATCCCAGGAATTATTGCAAGGGAGTGGAAAATAAAGCAGGGAAGAGAGTGGTTTAATGAGCACATAATTGTGGGCAACTGAGGCTTCATATGCTGGAGACTCTCTTATAAATCATGCGAAACATAACTAAAAGTTGTCAACAGAAATGAGAAAGCAGTGCTATGTATCCACAACTTGTCATCCCTTGTGCATATTTCTGGCATAAATGTGGAAGTGATGCAGGATTTTTCTCAGCCCGTTTGGCAGACTCGTGGGAGAGGTGCCCCATCTACTTGGTCTATTATGCTCAAGCTTTTGGGGGAGAGAGCACATATGCCAGCAAGTGCAGGACCTGGCTGGCCACTCCAGATGCCGAAACAGGAGCAAGCTCCACACGGGCCCCCAGCCTGACCAGGTGTGTTGCCTTGGCGGGAACATGGTGGAACCCAGGTGAGGGTGCCTGTGACACTGAAGCCCCAGAGGGGATTTTACAGTGCTCCTTTAGTTCCACCATTCACAGACAGCAGTGTGTTAGCAGCTCAGTTGGTGCCTTGCCTCGTCACATGGGGTGGCTGCCCTTTGCCAGGGAGGGCAAAGGGCTGGTTGGACGGCCTTTCTGGGTACCCACACTCAGTGGGTCCCAAGCTCTTGTCCAGTGTCCAAGAAGAATGAGGTCATGCAGATGATTGAAGGGTGGTGAAGGTGGAGAATTTTATTGAGTGATGAAAACAAGTCTCAGAGGAGAGGGGAGCTGGAGAGGGTACAGGAAGGACAGGTCGTCTTCCTGTACAACCTGAAGTCAGGCTGTCTCTTCCCGAAAGTCAGGCCATCTCATCTTCTACTGACTGAGTCTGGGGTTTCTATAGACACAGGATGGGGAGTGCTTGCTGATTGGTTTGTGAGTGTGCAAAAGTTAAAGTGAAGACAAGACTCAAAGGTGGGTACAACAGTGTGGAAAACCAATTAGGAAAGGGCAGGTATATGTAAAATAGGTGAAGGGTGGGGATCAATCAGAGGAAAGCGCACCAAACAGGAAGACAAGTTCTCAATCCTGTCTGAGAATTTAACTTATAGCTTGGCTTTCAAGCTTTAAACTGGCATTGGCTTGGAGGTGATGTTTCACCGGGTACCCACCCTTATCTGTCTAGGCATTTGGCTGCCTCCTGTCACTATCAAAAGCTTTTACCGCATTGTACTTTAATGGTTAATTAACTGGTATGTCTCTCCCTTAAACTTTCAATTCCTTGAGGGCATATCTTCACCATGTTTAATTTTTCCAGAACCTATCTCAAGACTTGACACATCATAGGAAATCAGTATGTTTGTTGAATCAGTTAATATTTTTAAAATTTCTAGAACACTAACAACAAGCAGTTACAAGATAGATATGTATTTGTGTATGGAGTACAGTTTATAGAGGCAAAAAAAGTTGGTTACAATAAAATAAATTTCTAGGTGTGTAAATTCATTACATACTAAATAATCAAAGCTAACACTATTGAGGTGTCAAAAATAAAACCCATTTGTTTATAGAAATCTCATAAAATGTGCCTTCCTATGTGTTATTTTTCTATTTATTAAAGCTAATTTCTTACAGATATTGTGCCTATTTTCTTACAGATATTGTGCCAAACTAATAAGATTTTATATAAAATAACCATATTGAATTATTACTGTCACATGCTCTTTTGCCTCCTCATTTTCCTGTAGAAAATGTTCATTATTCATAGAGACCCAATTAATCACCGCAGTTTTAGTCAGAAGACAGAAGCTTTGCCCTTTATTTATCTCACAAAGCAGGATCACAATAGTTCTGGTGCTTAACTATACCGATAATTTTTTAAGTAGCTTACTTTGCTAAAAGGATTAGATTATTTTTACTATATATATATTTTTTACTATGTATATATTTTTACTATATATTTCAATCACACTAACCAAAATAGCTTACCTGCTAAGCATGCAGTCTGACGTAAACCCAAAAGTATCAGTTATTCTACTTGCTGGTCCTTCAGAGTGAATTTGAATGTCATTTCTAATATAGTTTTCTAACATACAGTCGCATTGTTACTCTGGCTGAAATTTTACCTATACTCATATTTATCTAGTGAGAGACCCTACAGACTGACTAAAAACTGTGAAAACAAGTTCAGAAATACATACGCTGAATCCTTAGCCTAAAGCCTTAAATTTCTACTCTTACGACCTGTCCTATTTTAGTCAATTGACAAACACCAACAACTTACAAAGAGATCCAGTGGAGCTTCCAAATCATATCTGTAGATGTTAAGTCTTGGAATTCTTTGTAGTTCTAAATGTTGATACTTGTGAGAATTAAATTTGATAAAATGTTTTCTTTTAAAAACAATATACTGGCTTTGACATAGAACCTATTTTAAATAAAGCTATTAAAGTAACCCAGTCAAAGCTTCTAAAATGTTGCATAGTCAACTTTTGAATTTTCTGAGGTGGTTTTTAAAAGCAATGTTACAGCCTTTAATTTTTCATCTGCTACAGAACTTAAAACTACTAAAGACACGTTATTACAGTATTCAGATCTGATTTACAGAAACATACTCCACAATTAGGTTTAGAAAAACATAGATGCAAATTAGTTAAAAAATGATGTGCATTTCAAGTATCTCTTTGTACTGAATCACAATCACAAAGGAATAAACACATAATTCACTGTGTTTACCTGCCACTCTAGCCAAAGCTCTGATTTGGCTTACGTACAATAATAAAATACTAAGGGGAAATAAGATTACATTTATTTAATAATAGTGAAATCTAAATTCTCCCCATGACATCTTTGTCAATGTTCAATGGGACAGCAGATATCATTACTAGTTCAATATATGACTAGAGGGTTTTAAAATGTTTCCAAACTTTCTTTCCCTAAACCCGTAGCAGGAAAGAAATATCACTATATTTTATAAATTTATTAAATGCACTTATAAATAGCAAAAGAATTTTTAAAATATTAAGGTTTGAAAACAATGCCCACTTTGCAGAAAATTATCTCTGGTGAAAACAAAGGAAGTTTGTCTAAAGTGAATAAATATACTATGGCCTCCTCAATAAATATTTATATTCTGAGATTTTTTTTCTATTTTACTTAGCCTACTTATACTCTCAGAAATAATAATATGTTTCTTACATTCTTAGACATGTAAGTAGGCTAAGTAAAATATTCTACGTAGTAGAATGTTTAGAATTGTTCTAGTAAATAAATTAGCTTCACTGATATTGAATAATTTTCAACAAGTTTCACTCTCAGTGCTTGCTAAAAGGAAAACTATTTACTTGTTTGAATTATGTTCTTCATAATTACTAAATTTTTCTGGGCATCAAATGCTCCCCTTGTATTTTTTCGTTTTTTTCTTCTCTATCTTGTTTTTCCTGTCTCATTCTTGAAAATATTCTCTCATATGCTCTATAAAGCCCATGCTATTTTTGCAAAATCAATTACTGATGGCTTTCTAGCTTTTAGTTTTAATCCTTCAGAAGGCCCAGAAGTTTCTGTCACGTATACAGGTTCAAGAACTTGCTTCAATATCCTTAAAAAACATTAACATCTTAAGGAAGTTTTAATGCAAAACAAATGGAAATAGCTTTGAATAAGATGTCTGTTTAACTAATGTCATCTAAGCTGACTTTTTTGAACAGAAGAGTAAATAAGTGATATCCTTATTATTAAGAGACTCCCTTAAGGGCCAGTGAGAGGCAGGAAAACATGAAACCACAGTGAGTATTAGAAAATAAATTGCAGTTTTGGGCCTCCAAACACAATGTGTTTTTTATATTATGCTTATGACACATCTAGTTATTCTGAAAACCGGCCATGTGTTTTGGAGCAGAAGCATTTCCACTGAAGATGGTAATTGCTTATGAGTAGCCATTGATACATGAACAGTGAACATGTACCTAAACCACTGTGCATTAATAAGACTTTCTTCGCTTGCATATGAAGAGACCCCAATCAAGAAAGTTTAATGATATAAGCAGAGTTATTGGCTGATATGACCCAGAAAGCCAGAAATATCCTGGCTTCAGATACGGCTGGATCCAGGAGCTCCAATAGTATTTTTTGAACTGCTCATTCTTTCTTGCATAGGATTTCTCTCTTGAGACAAAGTAGCCACCAAAGTTATGTGATTGTAACTAAACAATCTAAGTAGAAAGAAGTAATATTTTGATAGCTCCAGAAGAAAATGTACAATAGGGCATTTCATTACCCCCAATTATACCTATGCCCATCTCTAACTAACTGCTATTGTCATGAACACTACATGAACAGGATTGTTCAGAAAAGAGAAACTGTTATTAAAGGAGAGACAACTTCTGAAAGAAAAAAAAAGGGCCAAAAAGCTATAAAGCTTCACTCTTTTCCCTCTTCCCAATGGTTAATTCTTAGATTAACTCCTTTGGTGCATTTCTCTAATACATTTTTATAACTGGATTTGAAGTTAGATAGTCCCCTACCCACAATGTACATAGGATTTTTCCAACCCATTTTAGGAGGCCATCATCCCATAGGCACAATAAATACACAAACTAATTAAGTAATTATTTAAAAACAATAAAATCCATATTAGCTCTTACCTTCTCTACAAATACAATGCTGATTTGCGTCTACCAAAGCTAAGCATGTTGAGTTGTTTCTGCAAGGGTTATGAAGTAGGTCACAAAGGTTATAGCGTTGGTGGCAAAATTGTCCAGTATAAAGGGGTGGGCACAGACATACAAATTGTCCAGGGATGGTAGATTCATGACAAAGACCTCCATTCATGCATGGATCAGAGTCGCATTCATTTATTTCTTCACTACAGTTCTGTCCAGTCCATCCAGATGTACACTCACATCTGAAATAAAATATTAAAATTTTTAGAAGTGTGAACTCTTTTTCAAGTTTATTTTTTGTATTTTTAATTACTCCCTTGAACTAATAGTATGTGGTGCTTTTAAATTTATAACAGGACTAATAAATAATACATAGTTTTAAAATATTGTTTGCCTAATTTCCTGTGACAGTATAATATATATTACCATAAAACTTACCACCTTGGCTGAAATAAGATTTTAAAAGCATTAACAAATTTCTAACATAGTTAGGCCTCTGAGACATGTCAGAGAACAACTATTGACCTAAATCACCAATTGAGCAAAATTTTCCTATGAATTATTTAATATAAGTTTTACAGATGAGATCACTATTTATAAGCCTTAAATGCTATTTAATTCAGCGTCCTTAGCAATATGTGAAATTCTTGTCATCACCAGAGTATATAACAAGGTGTTACTTTATGTTAAGCATCTGTTTTTGGCTTTGTGTGTGTGTTGAATCACTTGAAATGCATTTTTAAAAATATATTTTCTTTTTTAAAAATTTTAGATTCAGGGCTTACATGTGCAGGTTTGTAACACAGATACATTGCATAATGCTGTAGTTTGGGCTTTTGTTGAACCCATTGCCCAAATAGTGAACACAGAACCCAATAAATAGATTTTCAACCCCTACCTTTCTCCTTCCCTGCTCACTTTTGGAGTTCTCAGCCTCTATTGTTTCCATCTTTATGTCCATGTATACCCATTGTTTAGCTTCCACTTGCAAGTGAGAAAATATGATATTAGATTTTCTGTTTCTGCATTAATTCACTAAGGATAATAGCCTCTAGCTGCATCCATATTGCTGCAAAGGACATGATTTAATTCTTTTCATGGTTTTGTAGGATTCCACAGTGTATATGCATCACATATTCTTTATCCAGTCCACCGTTGATAGACAGCTACGTTGGTTCCATGATTTTGCTCTTGTGAATAGCACTATGATAAACATATGAGTGAAGTTGTCTTTTTGGTAGAATGACTTCTTTTTATTTGGGTGGATGCTCATTAGTGGGATTTTTGGGTCAAATGGTAGTTCTATTTTTAGTTCTTTGAGAAATCTCCATAATGCTTTCTGTGGGCTGAACTAAATTCGTATTAATATTTGAATAATGTGCGATAATTGAAGGGAAAGCAAACAAATAAAAAATAAAGCATTTGGAAGTTATCTGTGTATCACAGGCTTCTAGCTCAGTCTAGTCCTCCATCCAGTATCTGTCATTATCTTCAAATACCACTTTGGCTAGTCATCATCCATGAAACGAGGCTAGTCTGCCGTGAAGAGAAAAATTCTAGCAGACAGGAGGGGGAAAGTGTTTTACACACAAAATTCTAGCAGACAGGAGGGGGAAAGGGTTTTACACACAAAGTGTCCATTTGAGGGAAATGGAAAGGTTATAGTGAAGCCTGCAGATAGAGAGTAAATGCAAATAGAGAGATAGAGAGGTAGTCCATCAGCTGGGTAAGTGGAAAACAATCACAAACTGTAGGTGTGTTCAAGGAGAGAACTTGTGTCAATTTGTGGGCAAGGTAGATTTCCAAATCTTGAGCAACTTTACTATTATGCAAGTTATGAATCATGAAACAAGCACAGGAAATATTAGAACAATTATTTTCAAAAAGTGTATTTACTGATAGATTAGATTTTTAAGATAACTTGAAAAAAGTCATAGTGCTGAAATAATGTAACTTACTTTGTGATACAGAATATCTTACTAAAAGGAGGGGAGCAAAGAGGAAGGAAAGAAGGAAGAAACAAAGAAAAGAGTCACCTAATTTGCAGTTTCAAAGCCCCAGATATATCAAGGCCCTTTATAATTATAAATACATAGGATACCAATATATTGGAGGAGATAATTGAACAAATGACTTGCAACAACATCTATAATTGAATTCTAAATCGATATAGTTACCATTAAAATAAAAACCAAAATGAATAATTGGCAAAATGGTATTAGACATAATTGACTAATAAAGTGTTTACTAGTTCAATAAGTTTAAATCCAATGCATTGTAAGCCAGTGGATTTCACAGCTGTCTAAATTTTTTTTTAATTGGCTGTGGGTAGAAAGTAATTGCTATCATGATAATTGCACATTTCTTTGTGAAGCATGCTAGCACAAGACAAAATTTATGACTGAAACAATTCATACCTTCACAATATAAAAAATATATACCTAAGGGTATGTTATTTACTTAATATTTTATTTTCTTCTCAAAATCAAAATGCTCTAATTATTTTGGTGACTTTCCATCCTAGTTTGCCTGGAGAGACTTGGTTCAGTTTGTTGTTCTGATATAATTTTCAGGGCATCCTTTTACTTATAAAAGTTTCTAAGGTGCTTTTTTTAAAAATCTTTATCTCCTATATCCCATTACTGAAATTGAGTATCTAAAAAACAAAACAAAACAAACAACTATACACTTACCTATTTACTAATCCTACAAATTATTTCACTTTGCTCTAAAATTTGCTTGCCATACACTTTAGGAACTCATCATATATACTATCTTGTGTTAAAATCATTTGCATGGTTTGCCTCCACCATTAAACTTCTGGTTCCTGAATGTCTAAGAATGATCTGAATCTCCACATTATCATGTCAACACAATAAATGTTGACAATACTATAAGAATTGATATAAGGTCCTCAGTGTTGAAACAGATCAACTTATCTGCACTCTTTCATTTAGGAAGTTGAGGATCAGAGAGTTTAATGAAATTGGTAATCTCAGAGAATTGTTGTAAAGATTACATGACATGATGAATAAAAAGTATATATAGTGCCTGGAATCTGCATTGCCTGGCCACCTACACTGTTTACTAGATGCTGTCACAGAAGTTTTAAGAATACATTTTCTGACCTATGAGCCTAAATACAATGTGTATCTCAGCAATGAATATTTCTTTAGCTTTTAGTAGTACTTCTTTTTAATGTTTGATCATCACATCACATTTTAAAATTGTCAAATATATTATCCAATTTGATACTTTCAATAAAGCTTTGAAATATGTAGAAGAGATATTCTTTTTCTCACTTTACAGATGAGATAGGTGGAAGTTCAAAGGATAACAGTGATGTATCCTAAGTCATGTGGTTAAGCAAATGGAACTTAGAATCCAGATCTCCTCCTCTCAAGTTCCTGTTTTTCTTTTCTTTTCTTTTTTTAAACATGCTTTAAATCTAGTATCATTTCTTTAAACATTTTGTGAAATAATGTTAAAATTGGGTATTACCCAGTCTTAAGAGAACTTCAGTGTATTTATTTTGCTTGAAATAACATCACTGTAAATATAACTATTCAGTCATATAATGGGACTCAGTTAATATACTATGGCAATTTTAAGAGGAGAAAAGCTAGAGAATTAATATTTTCTAAAATCATGGTTACACAGGTCCTGAGGGTATTGCACAAGTATTTATGTTTTTCTCTTTATTGTATTCTGAGTACATAATTTCAACTTGGTTAATTTAAAAGAGTTTCCTAAGAAAAACCGACAATTCTTGCCTATTTGGCATATGTGCTGAAGGTTTGTTTTATCTTCTCACATAACAGGTGGCCTAAGACCTCATGTGGTGTCATTCCAAGGATCCAATCCTCAGGAAAGAATGTGGCTGTATGTCAAGAGGACTGATAATGCCAAGGCTGAGTTCTATGGAGATAACATGGATGTTTTATAGAAAATAAAGTTCCGAGGAACAAAGTCACTACTAGTGACTAACAATCATACCTACAGGTTTACATATTTGAATCTGCTTCCGCACATGTCAGAGAAGCTAGTGTTTGATGGGTGGGAAAAGGAAAACATATTTGATGTGAGGGCTTCAATCAGATTCTAAGTTTGCTCCATGAAATAATTTCAGGATTTAGTGGAACCAGGCAGATATTTTCAAACTCACAGCTAGAAGCAGAGTCTTTATGGATTAAAAAAAAAATGCAAAGCACATACCGTGTGACTTTTTGAGTGTACAATTTCTGGTAGTAAACACTTGAAAACAAGTAAGTGCGTGCCTAAAGATAGGTTAATACATTCTAATTTGCTCTTTTCCCTAGTGTGAGAAAATCTAAATTCATTGGTGTAAAATACATTGAACACTTCTAAGGACAACTTTTCAAATCTTAAATGCTGATTTAAAGTACTAAAGCTGATAATAGAAAATAAAGTAGTTATCATCGTTAAAAAGTGGAAGAAATACTACTCATTAAGGTGCGTTGGCTCACGCCTGTAATCCCAGCACTTTGGGAGTCCGAGGCGGGTGGATCACGAGGTCAGGAAATCAAGACCATCCTGGTCAATATGGTGAAACCCTGTCTCTACTAAAAATACAAAAATTACCCAGGCGTGGCAGCACGCGCCTGTAGCCCCAGCTACGCGGGAGGCTGAAGCAGGAGAATTGCTTGAACCTGGGTGGCGGAGGCTGCAGTGAGCAGAGATCGTGCCACTGCATTCCAGCCTGGGTGACAGAGCGAGACTTAGTCTCAAAAAAAAAAAAAACAAAATTCACTAGCTTCAAAAATCTTAATAAATGTCAATTTCTAATGACTAAGCATTCTATATGTTTACCTTACCATAAACATTTATTTGTAATGACAAAGGATCGTTCAGCAATATGTATCTGTGTTTGAATATATTTTGTATATTAAGGCATATAGGCTTTTTTGGCTCTAAATTTATTAATACAAACCTAAGTGTATATGCAGTTTAAAAGAATATTTTCTTATAAAAATCAGTTCACTTCTCTTAGAAGCAAACAGTAAAATGTTGTTTATCAGCTACTGGGAGGTGGAGGAGATCAGTGGAGATGTTGGTCACAGGATACAGTTAGATGGAAGGAAAAAGTTCAACAAACCAATTGTACATGATCATGACTATCATTAATAACAAGATATTGTGCACTTAAAATTTTTTAAGAGAGATTTTAAGTGCTTTCTTCATGAAAAAGATAACTATGTGAAGTAATGCATATGTTAATTAGCTTGATTTACCCATTTCAAAATGTATGCATATATCAAAACATTATGTTATACAACATAAATATACACAATTTTTATGTGTTAATTTTAAAAATTAGTTCATTATTTCCTGCAATCATTACATATTTGAAACACAAAATTTCAACCAAAACTGCTAGGTGAAAAAGAAATAATGACCGTTAATAATAAAATAGTATTGTTATCTTTTTAGTGTCCTACAAATTGGGGACATAGGAAAGGGAAGAATTTTTTTTAATGAGCTACCGAATTAAATAATTCATTCATTATTTTATTGTTTTGTCTATTAACCTATTTACACCCTTAGGTGTACATACCATCAACAAAATTATATTCATACCGAATTATAACATGAACATTACTAAACTCTTAACCTCTGCAATCTTCTTCTTGGAAATAAATGTGGAAAATCACTTAGCTCATTTAGACGGAAAAATCTATTGTAAAAAATATTTGTAAACATTAAAAATAGAATACAAAATTAAGGACCACTTTGAATAACAGCCTGAAAATGTTAGTATGTAAAAACATATGAGAAGATTGATATGGGTAAAATGAAAGTGAGGAGGTAGCCTAAAAACAGTAATAGCAAGGCAAAGTTGCTGAGGATTGTGAAAACTACTGCAACAACAAGAAAAGTAAAATTAAGGAATTTTGACTTTACCCTTGAAGATATTTAAGGGTTTTTTGTTTGTTTGTTCGTTTGTTTGTTTCTAAGCCTGGGAGTAACATTGATTGTTATCCAGTAGATGGATTAACATAGGGACAGCTTGGAAGCATGAAGATCATTTAGGAAGCTATTGTTTCATTACTGATAAGAGATTATGAGTACTACACAAAGGGAGTAATAAAGTACATCAAATTTGAGATATATTTCTGATGTAGGACAGAGAAGATTTGGATAATGGTTAGTAAGCAGATGAGGCAGAGTGAGGAGTGAGGACTCAGTGGGCTTCACATTCACTATTGGAAAGATAATGATGCCATCAGGTAGGAGACAGATGACAACGATGGAAATAGAAGAAAATAAGATGGCACTGATGCTTAATATGTAACAACTTAAATCAAATAAATTGCATGATTTCAGATGCTGTCCTGCATGTATTGAAAATTCAAATATGGAGCTCTAGAAAAACCAAGGCATGCAATAAAAATTCAAGTACCATTCTAACAAATAATACTAGGAATAAATAAATTTAAATTTGGCCTTCTCTGCTGAAATATAAATTTATGAAACATATAGAATCCTCTTCATTATGATATTCTGCAGTATTTTATAGAATCTTAGGTACATATGTAGATTCTTTGAAAAGAAATAGGCAGGAAAGAGTTCTACTAGGCAGATTAGAGTAAGCATGTGGTCGGATAGACAGTAAGCAAGATAGATAGTAAGCAAACCTTTCTTTCTTTAATTTTTATTTATTTATTTTGAGATGGAGTCTCACTCTGTCGCCCAGGCTGGAGTGCAGTGGCGCGTTCTCGGCTCACTGCAACTTCTGCTGCCCGGGTTCAAGCGATTCTCCTGCCTCAGCCTCTCAAGTAGCTGGGATTACAGCCCTGCCATCGCACCCGGCTATTTTTTGTATTTTTAGTAGAAACAGGGTTTCACCATGTTGGTCAGGCTGGGCAAACCTTCCTTTTTTATGTTTTTCTTTTTTTCTTTTTTTTTTTTTTGTGAGGCTGAAGTTTATGGAGTATGTATTCTAAATGAACTCAAGAATTTCTGTTTTAATATTAATAGAAAAAGGATTTCTTCTATTTAGGCCATCAAGCATCATTTCATATATTTTTTCAAAAAAATAAATTCAGACATATAATTTATTTATACACATAATTTATAAGTCAATTATTTCAATTGGAAGAATTATAATCTATATTTTTCATACATTTTGATGTAAATGAACTGTATGGATAATTCCTTGATATAATTCTCTTCAAATTATCTGTTTCCAATATTCTATATGATTTAATCTCCTGTGCCATGTAAAAAGACAACTGGTCAATAATCTTTTTCAGAGTTATTTAATTCAAGCTGCTTTGTAGGTCAGTATTTCTAAAAAACAATTCAAGGCTTTTTCAAGATTCAGAATATTCCTCGTTTCATAGAAGAAAGCTAAAATGCCAGACAAGCAGAGGCAGATAATGCATTGGGTCACGCCTCCAGTATATTCATATTTAAAATCTGAGGTAAATCTGATGGAACTCATGCTGTATTTTGAAGAATACCCAAAGTTAAATACATTTGAATCTGGGACTAGAACAGCAAAGCCAAACATATGCCGTACAGTGAGATGCCATATAGTGAGATTAGTTTCATTTTTTTTTTTTGTCATTGTGGTCATAATACAGAAACCATGAGAATGGGGTATTTTACCACTTGGATGATCAGAATTTAGATTTTTTTGTAAGCCTACAACAAGCCCTAAGACATTTATGTTGAAAGATGAATCTTTCAACAACATCTTGAATAAAGCTGAAAGACAACACTTGCTCAAAAAGGCTGACTACATAAGATAGTTGAAGCTACTATTCTGTAAGTTTACCTGTTGAGTCAAGAAAATGACTAGTGTTATAAACATGAGTAACATGAACAATTATGTGATTTAGCTTTGAACATAAACCTAGTTTAAGTTACTGTCTTTAATTTCTTCTATTTTATTTTTCCTTAATGGTGTGTGTGTGTAAGCGGAAAATTGATGATGAATCAGTTTCTGAGCAAGTAAGTATTACTTCTGGCTCCTGTTTTTTTCCAAAAAGGATCTTTGTAGCAAGTCCAAGTAAGTCTGCTTTTAAATATAATGCTTTATATATTCAGAAGAATTCATAGTTGCATCTTTTTCAATGCTTAAAAATGTATGTAAGTATATGTCTGCATGTGTATATGCAAGTATAATATCCATACCTATACCCACACATTGTATTCAAATTATACTTGAAAATGCATATATAATCTTTCAAATACAGTTTAAAATGTATAAAGATCCTATATACCTACACATATATTTTTATTCTTTCAGGTACAATTTGAGTAGGAGGCAGAATTTTAAATACAAAAGCAGGATACAGAGTGTTACATAAGCAAAGTACTAAGATATAGAACTTAAACAAATTTATAAACATTTTACAAAATAATTCATAAATCTTCAGCATGTCAGGTGTTTCATATGGAGAAACATTTTAAACTCCCAGTTTAATAAGCATTACACTTGAAGTCTCAGAAGAAAATCAACTGAGCTAGCAAAAGCCAAAGGATTTTTATGCATATGGAAATATTACAAGCAATGAGGAAACAAAATAGTCTTTGTTTTTTTGTTAGGACTGGCATTATAATAAATGCTATATCTGTTTCATACTCCTTAGGGGTAACATGTATTAAAACTATATACTCTAATTACTAATCACACATACTTAGTTCAGACTATATGCATATAACACCATTAATTCTGAAATGTAACATAAATTCAGTTAGCCGATGTAAAAATATGCAAAAATAAACCTATTGAAAATGAACACTAACATATCTTTCCACATACAGAATTATTAACCCATTATTTTATTAAAATTTAAAATTATAGAACATGTCCTTCCTTAAAAATTTAAATAACACTCAAATTGTCTTATTTTTTAATAAAACAGATGGAACTATAGAAATAAATAAGGATAGCAGAGATAAGAGAGAAATGGAAAGAAGGAAAGAGAAGCAAAATAATTATTTTTTAAAATGTCACTAAAGGGTCACCTGTCTCACAGGGGTTATGTGGAAAGTTTATTATCTATGATCCTGCTTCTTGATGAGACTCTTCCTGGTACTTAGTCAAGCCGGAGTCCAAGTGATATTCAAAAAGCCTTTAAAATTCACTAAGCCAGAACTTCAAACTCATGGAAAGAAAGGATAAATTCAAAGTAGAAGAGATTTATCTTTGTAAAGTATGAAGTAAAGTCACCAGTGCCTGTGTCTCTCTGAATCTAACTCAATGTGACAAAGAAAATTAGAAACAGAAAATAAAACTTCATCCTCAATAAAACAGTTATCAATAATCCCAAGCCAAAGCACAAAAGAATTAGATGACAAATATTGTGAAAGGACCAAGATAAGAGCAGATATGAAGAGCAGGTAGGTGCCTGCTGCTGGAGTAAGCCAGCAGAAAGGGCACAAAAATAGTTCTCAGAGTAGGAAACTGATGAAAAATTTTAAAAAACAAGAACAAAAATTAAAAAAAAAAACTTGCTTGAAATATAAGGCTGGGCCAATTTTCCATCAAAGAGTGTTTGGGGTAGAAGAAAAGACACTGGCAGAATTTGGAATTTCAGAGACATGCAACATTGAGGGCCCATGAAGGAAAATCAGCAGTCCTGTTGCTACTGTTATTCACTGGGGTGACGAAAAATAAATCCATTCTCCCTCTCTCCCACCTCTGTCACACACATACACATGCATATGCATATATGTGTTCACACACAAGCAATTGAAAAACCAATATTTTCCTCTGAGCCAGGGAAGATTCTGCTTGTTTCTCATTGACAAGGACATTGTGTTGACTCACACACATTCCCACAAATACTAAGGTTTTGAAGAACTAAATTTAAAGATAAGAAAAACTTAGAAAGGAATTAGTGCAAAATAGACTGTTGTGTTTGTGTGCAAATGTAAATGTAAAAATAAATGAGTATGAAAAGAGCCAGACATCTTATATAAGTATTATTTTACCAAGCATATTAAAATTACAGCTAGATAATTTTAAGACAAGTATAAATATTACTATACAACAAAATATTTAAGGAGATATAAAAGACTCAGGATATATATTAGTTAATAAAATGAGAGGAATCCCAATGGCAGAATTCCAGAAAAAATAGAGGATAAATTAAATGCCAGTATTCACTGGCCCTTTTGTTTCCTCTCCATGATAGCAGTGCAAATGCACTGCTTCTAGTCTGCCATCTTGACCCAACATCCCTTTAAATGTATTTTCTAACTCATTCCCTAGCTTCTAGGGTGTCCTGGCATCTTAGCTATGGATATCCCAGTACCTGCAGGTCACAAGGTAACAGAGACTATGACAGTCATCTGGGTCTCCTGGAACGGAGGACACAGAGCAGTGGAGATGGACCCCAAGCTCTAGGTGGAGTAAGAGACCTACTTTGAATTCTTTATCCAGCATCCCAACATTTCATTTTGTTTAGGATTCAAGATCCAGTATTACTATGCTGATTTTTTTCTCATCTGGAGAAACACTTCTTACTCTTGTTTACTTTTTTTGGGGTGGGACTTTTCTTGAGGATGTGCCTATGATGTATGTTGAGTAAGGCCATTTGGCTTTGCTTCTGGGTATGTTTAGTGGCTGTATTAGTCTGTTTTCACGCTGCTGATAAAGACATACTAGACACGGGGGAAAAAAAGGTTTCATTGGACTTACAGCTCCACATGGCTAAAGAGGCCTCAGAATCATGATGGGAGGCGAAAGGTATGTCTTACATGGTGGTGGCAAGAGAAAAATAAGGAAGAAGCAAAAGGAAAAACCCCTGACAAACCCATCAGATCCCATGAGACTTAATGACTATCACGAGAATAGCACAGGAAAGACCTGCCTCCATGATTCAATTACCTCCCCCTGGGTCCCTTCCATAACATGTGGGAATTCTGGGATATACAATTCAAGTTGAGATTTGGATGGGGATATAGTCAAACCATATCATTTCACCCATGGCCCTTCCAAATCTCATGTCCTCACATTTCAAAACCAATCATGTGTTCCTAACAGTCCCTCAAAGTCTTAACTCATTTCAGCATTAACTCAAAAGTCCAAATTCTCATCTGAGACAAGGCAAGTCCCTTCCACCTATGTGTCTGTAAAATCAAAAGCAAGATAGTTATTTCCTAGATACAGTGGGGGTACAGGTATTGGGTAAGTACAGCTGTTCCAAATGGGAGAAATTGGCCAAAACAAAGGGGTTACAGGGCCCATGCAAGTTCAAAATCCAGCGAGGCAATCAAATTTTAAAGCTCCAAAATGATCTCCTTTGACTCCATGTCTCACATCCATGTCACACTGGTGCAAGAGGTAAGTTCTCATGGTGTTGGGCAGCTCTGCCCCTGTGGCTTTGCAGGGTACAGCCCCCCTCCTGGCTGCTTTCACAGGCTGGCATTGTCTGTGGCTTTTCCAGGCACATGGTGCAAGCTGTCAGAGGATCTACCATTCTGGGGTCTGGAGGATAGTGGCCCTCTTCTCACAGCTCCACTAGGTGGTGCCCCAGTAGGGACTCTGTGTGGGGACTCTGACCCCACATTTCCCTTCCACAATGCCCTAGCAGAGGTTCTCCATGAGGACCCCGCCCCTTCAGCAAATTTTGCCTGGGCATCCAGGCGATTCCATACATCTTCTGAAATCTAGGCAGAGGTTCCCAAACCTCAGTTCTTGACTTCTGTGCCCCCAGAGGCTCACCACCATGTGGAAGCTGCCAAGGCTTAGGGCTTCCACCCTCTGAAGCCACAGCCCAAGCTGTACTTTGGTCACTTTCAGCTATGGATGGAGCATCTGGGACACAGGGCACCAAGTCCCTAGGCTGCACACAGTATGGTGACCCTGGGCCCAGCCCACAAAACCATTTTTTGCTCCTGGGACTCCAGGGCTGTGATGGGAGGGGATGCTGTGAAGGTCTCTGGCATGGCCTGCAGACATTTTCCCCATGGTCTTCGGCATTAACATTAGGCTCCTTGCTACTTATGCAAATTTCTGCAGCCAGTTTGAATTTCTCCCCAGAAAAAGGGTTTTTTCTTTTCTATTGCATAGTCAGGCTGCAAATTTTCCAAATTATTATGCTCTGCTTCCCTTATAAAACTGAATGCCTTTAACAGTACCCAAGTCACCTCTTGAATGCCTTGCTGCTTAGAAATTTCTACTGTCAGATACCCTAAATCATCATTCTCAAATTCAAAGTTCCACAAATCTCTAGGGCAGGGGCAAAATTCCACCAGTCTCTTTGCTAAAACATAACAAGAGTCACCTTTTCTCCAGTTCCCAACAAGTTCTTCATCTCCATCTGAGACCACTGCAGCCTGGACCTTATTGTCCATATCACTATCAGCATTTGGGGCAAAGCCATTCAACAAGACTCTAGGAAGTTCAAAACGTTCCCACATTTTCCTGTCTTCTTCTGAGCCCTCCAAACTGTTCCAACCTCTGACTATTACCCAGTTCCAAAGTCACTTCCACGTTTTTGGGTATCTTTTCAGCAGCACCCCATTCTACTGGTACCATTTACTGTATTAGTTCATTTTCATGCTGCTGATAAAGATATACCCGAGACTGGGAAGAAAAAGAGGCTTAATTGGATTTATAGTTCTACATGGCTGGGCAGGCCTAAGAAAGAATCATGGTGGGAGATGAAAGCCACTTCTTACATGGTAGTGGCAAGAGAATAATGAGGAAGAAGCAAAAGCGAAAACCCCTGGTAAACCCGTCAGATCTCATGAGACTTAATCACTATCACAAGAATAGTGCGGGAAAGACCAGACCTCATGATTCAATTACCTCCCCCTGGGTCCCTCCCACAATACATGGGAATTCTGGGTGATACAATTCAAGTTGAGATTTGGATGGGGCACAACCAAACTCTATCAGTGGAATAGACTCTGTATGATTTCTTTGGTTATACGTAGTCTTCATGTGGTGGCTTCTCAAATGCTCATTGTGGTAGCGATGTGCCTGGTGTGTCAGCAGGCCCAAGGCCTCCTAATGAGCAAGGGTGGTGTGAATAATAGTGGTAGCAGAGGTCATATGAGGCTACCTTCCCAAATGCTGTGTACTTGTGTCAGCAGATACTGAAATGGGCTATGAAGTAGATCTTAAGGCCAGAAAGTGGTGCTTATAGGTGAGAGCCAGATGGCATGGTCACTAGCTCTCTCCTGTAAGATGTTCTCACCTTGTCTAGATGATCTCTCATCTACACCCAAAGGTGTAATCTAAATGAAGTTCTCAGGTTCCCAGGTGGTGGGTTGGGTTGTAGAACATTCAGTGGTCCTTGTCCCCCACTTTGCCTCTGAGGACAGAGGCAGCATAGCTGGGAACTGGGCCAAGCGAGCCTGCATGTGGGCCCCTAATGGTGGGTGCAAGCACCAGCCCCAGTAGGGTTCGGAGTCAGTTCTCGGGTCCCTAGAATAACTTCCCAATGAGGAGCAGAATAATCATTGCTGGGCCTAAGACCCAGGATGGGGAATGAGAGATGGCTCAGGCTCTACAGACTAGCAAGTGGTAGTGGGACCTGCTGTGCTCTCGTACTCCCAACCTAGGAGGGCTCCCTCCTATAGTCTGACTCTGGCAGAAACTTAGAACAGTTAGCCAAAGCACTCCTAGTTTGCCTTCAGGCAGACCTATCCCAGGCCACAAAACTTTCTGCTGGGGTCAAAACCACACCCACTCATGTCCTCTGAAGAGGGAGCACCCAAGTACTGTGCCTGTGGCTGGAGCACATACCACATTTGCCTCTCAATTCTAGCCCCAGGGGCTTCTCCCCTGCTCAAGATCATAAATCTCTGACCTGAGACTCTCCAGACCAGTAACTGCCACTTGTGCTGGCTGGCAGGTTTCCACATAGCTCCCTATGAGCTAGGATACAGAATGGCCTCATTCTATTGATGCCCAGTTCTAGGAGAGCATGCAGGATAATTTCTAGGGCTGTTCCTGCTCATAGACTTCTGATGGCTCCCCAGGTTAGATCCAGAGCTTGGTTGGGACAAGGATCTCCGTTATAGCCTGGATTGCCCAGCTTCCCAGTGGGAATGTGCATCATGGAGGCAATCACTCTCTATCTCATGCACTGGGGATTCACTCACAATTTTCTGCTGGAGCCTGCCACATGAGTTGTTACCTGCATTTTTTTTCTAAGTGCCCAAAGTTTTCTTTAACTCTTATGTTGATCTCCCGTGTTCCTTTTTGCACAGAAGTTCACAGTGTGAATCTTTACACACAATTTTGCTATTTCTAAGTAGGTGAGGTATACTAACAAAGCCTCCAATTACCCATCTGGTGAAAGAAAGGTGTTTAAAAACTTTGAAAAAGAGATAGACCCTAAAATGTAGGTATTTGTAAAGAATTCCTATACCAAGACATACGTTAATTGTGATTTACTGTGAAAAGCAAGAGCAAATATAAAGACTATACAGGCGATATACGTCATGATTTTTTTACAAAAGAAAGCAGAGTTATATTTTCTCATTCTGAAGTCAAAGAAGAATTTTATAGCTGAATCTTTTAGTATAGGACATTGGGAAACATGATGGACCATGTCTTGATGTATGGCTTTGCAATAGGTATAGAAATGTTCAAATGCACATCTTTTAAACTGATTCTGCATGAAAATTGAAGGCAAAATGTAACATGCTAACTTTGTGTGGAAAAAAAAGGATTATTAGCTCGAATAATGTGCTCTAGACACAGATCTAGGAGAAACACATAAAATGGATTCCTTAGTTTTATGTGAGCTCTTTTTGTTTGTCAGCTGGCTTATCATTTTGAAAGCTGATAGTTACTCGGGGCATGCATTGGAAATACCCACAGATTATTGAGCAAAACAACATTGATCTGAGAAGAAAGCCCTCTACAAGAAAAGAAATATCCCTAAATCAAACTAGCAATACGAAATCTTACTTACCTAGAAATACACTAATAAAAGTTATTGATTACTTACGTGATCAATTCTATAGACTGAAACAATTTAGAATAACAAATACAGAAATAAAACTTTTTACCATTAAATTTATGTCAAAACTCCCCAGCATAAGAAAAACCACAACACTGAACAACCCTTTCATCACTGATTTGGCAAGGAGTTACAGGTGACAATAAAAAATAATGTCAAATCTTAAGGGTTCTGGTGTAAGAAGTCCTAAATTCTATATCTCTTCTGCTAATAACATGTCATTTGAAAAGCCAACTGATCTATATAATTTTTTTATATCCTCATATAAGAAACAAACATAAATAATATCAGTATATCATCTGGCCATAGTTATAATAAAAGTCAAATTAAAAGTTTCTATGAAACCCCTTTATTAAGATAAACATAGTAAATAGATAATTTAATTTACATTTAAAGATTTCTCATGCTGAAAAAAAGTATCGATGTTTTGAAATAGTTTATCAGAAATTATTACAAAAGGAAAATTTTCAAAAGCCCAACAAATAGGGTATAAGAGGGTGGAAATGAACTGTGAATGGGGCACAAGAAAACTTTCTAGGGTGATGGATAAGTTCTATATTTTGGGTTCAGTGGTAGTTACACAAGTAAGTGCAATTGCCAAAACTCCTTAAATTGTATATGTAAAATCTTTGCATTTTATTATGTGTAATCACAATAAAAAATGTCCAAAAGCTATTGAATACCTTATGAAAAGTCTATTTCTCTAAAAACATTGCCTCCCCCTTCCCCATAAAAAGAAAGAGTAAGGGAAAAAGTCTACTTCAAAACATAAGAAAAATGCAGGACCTTAATTATATCATTTTTTTAAGAACTTAATATCAAATTTTGATTATCTTTCAAAAAAAGAAAATACAGATTTTGCAGCAAATAATATTCTCATGTACATTTTTCCTTTATTTCCATATGTGATTACCTTTCTTCCACAGTTCAATACAAATAATTTTACTCACAAATACCATAATCCTAAATTTCACATTTTGTGTTTGTTATAGTCATGGTCATTGCCCTCCCATGCAACATTGAATCTGAAACAAACAGTAACTAATGGCTTTCAATTCATTTCTAATGAGCCATTGCTGAATATGTCTGCATCATTCTGGTTTTGTTTCATGGTATTATGTTTTTACATTTTTCTTAAATTTTACAGTTTCTAGTACTTTGCATTAAAACAATTCATCATCTTTAAAAACAAATGTTAAAAAAGAAGAAAACAAGCAAAATCTATTCTTAGATATAGTACTTTTTAAAAGTCCATTTTTTTTTAATTTTAGTTTATTTTTAATTGACAAATAATAAGGCAACACTTTTAATCTGAACCTGGTATTATGGTTCTATGTGAAATAATGAGATAACCTAATACGGAATGATTTTTTTCTAACTACACCTCTAAACAAGCAAAATTATCTTTGAATATGTTTCTATGCAGTTCTGTGAATAAAATTTAAAGATTTTATGTATGGCTATGCTAAATTATAATCTTCTGGGCTTCAATAACCGTAAGATATGTTTTCATAACTGCACTCAGGAGACATCAGAAGGTGTTGGGGTTGAATTGTATCTCCCCAAAAGACCTTGAGGTCCTAATCACCAGGATCTCAAAATGTGGCCTTTTTTGAAAATAGAGTATTTACAGTGATATTCAAATGAAAGTGAATCCATTAGGGTGGAAACTAATTCAATAGGACCACTGTCTTTTAAAAAGGGGGGAAATTTTGACACAGAGATAGGCCCTCACACAGGAAGAAAACTACAAAAATTGAAGGCTGAGATGAGGGTGATTCTTCAGAAGCCAAGGGATGCCAAAGATTGTCCCGGCAAAGTAATACAGAAGGTATACAGGGAGCTTTTTACAATTACTATGATGCCTGATAAAACTGTCTCTTCCTCCATTCTTTCAACTCAGTTTTGGTGAAATAAGAGAGTTCATTTATTCATTCAAAATAAGGTCTTTAATACCTTTTCTGTTTATCACTGCCTGTCTTCAAATAATATGCCACTTCCTGTAAAACATAATAGCCTTACAACAAGATACTGTGCTTTCCCCTTTTCTTCCTTTGTGCTACTGTTATCAAAAAGCAATTTTACTTAATCAGTTAGTTCTAAGGCCTATTTGTACAATAATTATTTGACCAATAATTGGTGGTAGGATGTATTTATCTGTCAAAGAAAGTATACTTAACTCCTGAGTTACTCCTTTTTGATAAAATTTGAACTACATGAGGTTCCAACTTTTCCAGTGAGAAAATAATAATTATTTAGTCTTTCACAAATTTGTTAAACCTTGGGAACTGAGAGATATCATACATATCAACATATGTTGCCACTGGCAACGTATGTATGATTATATACTATAAGCAGGATCAGATGATGATGATCTCAAACCATTGATGTGGAGTCACACCTGTCTTGTTCTGGTATTTAGATTTACTACTTTTTAACACTGTGATTTCTGCATAAGTTACGGAAAATATCTAAGTTTTTGTTCTTTCATATATAAAATAAACATAAATAAAATCTGACTAAGAGATTTGCTCAAGAACAAAATGATACAAACTGTAAGTGTCTGCTATAGATAATTGCTTTAATTACTTGTGTGAATTTACTGAATCTGTCCAAAAGATAATTTGATAAAAACTACTCGAATATTTAATGTAGACACACTTTGATCCAGCAATTACACTTATAGTAATTTATTCTACAAATAAACATGCACACATATATACAGAGGCATATATAATTCCTCAAATAATAGATTATAATTGTAAAATATTAAAAATTCCCTGTGTCTGTTATATCTGTAAACTACAGTGTAGCTATACCATAAGAGGATGAGTGATCTACCTACCCACACATATTTTGTTCAAACCTCCGGTTTTTGTGAAGGAAAAATCTTTTAACTCTTAAAGATAGATATTGTGCCATAGATTGCTATTGCCTGAACTAAAATTTTGTCATGGCTTTGCTTTTATATTAGCACTTAGGACTTCTATGCATAAATAAGGTAAAAAAAAAAAAAAAAAAAAAGCAAAACAATATCTCTGGTAACACATTAAAACTTTCATAGTTTTTATTTGATGTGTTAAGATATACATAAATAATCACAAGTTTTTAACTTATTAAATGTCAGACTTTTTCAGTTATTATATCCATTAAAAATTTTTAAACATTTTTATAAGAGATGAAAATTTTAATGCATAGTGCTTCATGATTTAAGGTATTTATTTAAATACTCATAAAAGACAAACTAAGGAAAAAAATGCTTACAGTCATCTGGGAGCAAACCTTCACGTTGTCTGAAAGTCAGCTTTGTAGTGTCCATAAGAAAAGCAGGCCAAAGCATCAACACAAATGCCAACTGCACAGGCAGCAAAGAGCCAGATGCTGTTGGCAAAACATGCTCCAGAGTGTGGCATCTGGGTCCAATAATGGCCATACAGAGCCCCATCTGTAGCTAAAGCTGTTGACTCTGCTTTGGGGGAAGAAAAATCAGAAATAAAGAAGGCAGTTAAATTTTAAACCATGCCAGGAATAGCAGAAGGCAGGTTGCAGTCAGCATTCAAATTACATCGCTAGCCCAATTTGCTTTTTAATGTCTTGAAACTGTGTAAACACTAAACTATGTTAACTCCAGTTGTTTAGAGAGATGAGCACATATAGGTAGTTCAGTAACTTAGGACACACAAATCAGCTAAATAGATTTGATATTCCATCAGACGTTCATTTATCTAATTTTTTTCTCAAGGAATATAAGCATATGGTCCATGAAATGCAATTCTAATTTGATCTATTAAAATATGCAATTTTAAGTGTTCATTATGGTATATAATTTTCTTCAAATAGCATAAAATTTAAGACTCTTCTTTACAATGTTTATAATATTTTATTAGAATAACTCTTCACAAAGTTAAATAGGATATTCATGTATCCTTCACTGAGACTCCTTAAAGTTTTGATCAGTGGAAATTTGTGGGAAAGCTACAAAGAACCTTAAGCTTTAATCAAATAAAGTTTTTCAAAATTATAAAGAGATGATCAAAATAATCTCTTTTTAGTGTTCTTCATTTGTTGTACATATAAATATATAAAATGGAATTAGTTGATATCCAGATGATTAAAAAGATTCATCATTTATAAGATGCCACACTAATCTTATCTATGCATATATTTTTGAAAACAAGATCAATGTTTTAAATAATAAAAACTAATGATATTTACAGTGAACTATATATAAAAAAGTTAACTAAAACTTTGTGGACAGAATATTATTTATCACCATAACCCTGAGACATTACTATTGTTGATTCTACTTTCTAGCTAAGGAAACTGGAAGCTTGCAAATGTAATGTAAACTTACTTATCCCAATTCACACAAACCCTTAGAGACAGAATCAAACTTAATATGCAGACACTGCAGACACTGTGATTGTAGAACCCATATTTATTCTCCTTCTCCCCAATAAGATGAAAATAAAATATAACTTGATAGAATCATTTCTGTAATAGCAGAGGAAGAACTAGTCAAACATACACTCTTCCATAAAAGAAACTTGTACATTGATAAATATAGTTAAAATAAGCTGTTTCAGAACTGTGTAAATGAACTAAAGGCTTGAAACAATCTCCGTGTTTATTCAAGAAAAATGATTGAATCTCATAAGCCTAATCAGCTTCGTGGTTGTAAACAACCATCCCTCTCTCCCCAGCTCTTCAATGGACTTGAAATCCAATATCATTGCAATAATGGTAGCTGAGAAACCAGCAACCTAATAGCCAGTGGAGGGGGAGGGGATAGTACAGGTATGCATTTGACTCAAAAGACCCTTCCCAAGGAATGTCACTATTTCATTGGTTTGACAGCACTCTGAAAAACTCCATTCTCAGGGACTGACTTTATTTGACCTGACTAAAAATTCACTCTTATAAAAAACCATATATCTAGGGAATTTGTTAAAAATAATCAGTGGCAATTGCTTAATATCACAGTGTTTGAGGCAATAATTCCAGTTGAGGGCAACTCTAGGTTGATCAATATAATCAAAGATTTAATAACTCGGGAATTAGATGTACCTAGAAGTCTTTGAAAGCTAGAAAAAATCCTGGAAAACTAGAAAACATCACAGCATGCAAGTCTATAAACAGGCCTAAGAAAGATATAAACAGCCCTAATCTCTGATCTCTGACTAACCTTGAGGCTCTATACAAGCAGGAAGTAAAGAATAAAGTACAGTTGTAAACTGCCTGGCTGAGCATTGAAGACATGTCTCAACACACACACAGAGTCCTTTAGTAAAGGCTGGAAGATGTTTTAGTTCCAAAAATCTAAGAAAAATCTCTGTGAAATGATTCATTTTAGCTGACCACTAAGTTAATCAAGCAGAGACTAAAATGGCCACACATGGTAAAGAACAATCCCAGTGAAACACTAGACAAATAGTAGAAACAACAAAAACAAAAACACTAGCTACTAGGAAAGAGCAAGATTTGATTTCCAGATGTACCAAGTTATGCTATTTAAAATGTCAAGTTACCAGAAAATATTATAAGACATACAAAGAAATAAAAGTATGGGCCATGCACAGAAATAAAACCAGTAAATAGAAACTGCCTTTGAGGACACCCGAATATTGGATTTACTTGACAAATATATTAAGTCAGCTATGGTAAACTTGTTCAAAGGGAAATATAAACTATTATATAATCAATTAAGGAAAGTAGGAGATTGATGTCTTACCAAATCAGTAATAAAAATAAAGGAAGCAATTATTAAAAAATTAAAAAACAAATAGAATTTCCAGAGTTGGAAATTATAAAAACTGAAAAACAAATGTAAAAGAGAAAAACAACGTCATCAAAAAGTGGGCAAAGGATAGGAACAGATACTTCTCAAAAGGAGACATTTATGTGGCCAACAAACATATGAAAAAAAGCTTATCATCACCGGTCATTAGAGAAATGCAAATCAAAACCACAATGAGATACCATTTCACGCCAGTTAGAATGGCAATCATTAAAAATCAGTAAACAACAGATGCTGGAGAGGATGTGGAGAAATAGGAATGCTTTTACACTGTTGGTGGGAGTGTAAATTAGTTGCACCACTGTGGAAGACAGTGTGGCGATTCCTCAAGGATCTAGAACTAAAAATACCATTTGAGCCAGCAATCCCATTACTGGGTATATACCTGAAGGATTATAAATCATTCTACTATAAAAACACATCCACACGTATGTTTATTGCAACACTGTTCACAAAGCAAAGACTTGGAACCAATCCAAATGCCCACCAATGATAGATTGGATAAGGAAAATGTGGCACATATACAGCATGAAATACTCTGCAGCTATAAAAAAGGATGAGTTTATGTCCTTTGCAGAGACATGGATGAAAATGGAAACCATCATTATCAGCAAACCAACACAGGAACAGAAAACCAAACACTGCATGTTCTCACTCGTAAGTGGGAGTTCAACAATGAGCACACAGGGAGGGGAACATCACACACCAGGGCCTGTTGGGGGGTCAGGGGGATAGTGGAGGGATAGCATTAGAAGAAATACCTAATGTAAATGATGGGTTGATGGGTGCAGTAAACCACCATGGCATGTGTATGGCACATGTAGACCTATGTAAAAAACCTGCACATTCTGTACATGTATCCCAGAACTTAAAGTATATTAAAAAAAAAAAGTTATTGGAAAAAATAAAATAATTACTAACTGAGCAAAACAAGAGACTTAATTTGGCAGAAGAAAGAAGTAGTGAACATAAAGATAAGTTTATTAAGATAATTGTGTCTGAGGATCATCAGAAAAAAAATAAATAAATGAGTAGATCCTCAGAGATCTACTCACATATGAGTTCCAAAAGGAAAAGGGATAGATAAATGCTTTGAAAAATTAATGGCCAAAACTTTCTGAATATTATGAACAAATGTTGATCTATACATCCATGAACCTCATCAAACTCAAAGTAGAATAAATTGAAAGAGATTGAAAGTTAATCATGATAGTCAAACTGTAAAACACAAAGAGATAATAGTGATAGCATCAAGAAAGAAAGTGATTTATTACATACAAGGATCCTCATAAGAATAACAATTGACTTCCCATCAGAAGCCACCATGTAGATAAGAAAGCAGCAGAATGATATATTTGAAGTGCTAAAAGAAAAAAAAAGACTATCAACCATGAATTCTATATCCTACAATGCTACCTTCTAAATTAAAGCAGAAACTAAGACATTTTCAGATAAACAAGAACAGGAAGATTTCATAACTAGCAGACTAACATATAAAGAATAGTAATGATAGTCCTTTAGGTTAAAATGAAAAGAAACTATAGAATCTTAATTATTCACACATAAAAATCATGAGATCCAGTAATGGTAACTATATTAGTAAATATTAAAACCAGTATAAATATGTTTTGTTCATAACTCTTTTCTCTGTATATGATTTAAAAGATGGAGCATAAAACCATAATTATAACAGTTTGTTGATGGGCTTATAATGTATAAGATATAATTTGTATCACAATAATAAAACAAGGGAGTAAAAAAAGGGGAGCAATGGTGGAGCAATATTTTTGCACAGTGTTAAAAATAAGTTGCTATTAATGCTGTGTAATTGCTTTATCTTAAGAGGTTACTTATAATCTATAGGTCAACCATTAAAAATTTTCTAAATAATACAATAAATGTAACAAGGGTGTTAAAGTGGTATATCAGAAAAAAATATCTATTTAACACAAAGTAAGGCAATAATGGAAGAAGGCAGCAGCAAAAGAGAAGAAGACATATAGAAAACAAATGGCATAATAGCAGAAGTAAACTCTACCTTATCAGTAATTACAGTAAGTGCAAATTGAGTGAACATTCCAATCAAAAGACAAATAATGGCAGAATGTGCTTAATGAAAAAATTGTTCAACTATATGCTATTTGTAATAGTTATACTTTGTATTCAATAGTGAAAACTAAATTCATAGCAAAAGGAAGGAGAACATAATGAAAATTAAAGCATAAATTAATAAAGCAGAGAATAAAAAAGCAATAGAATAACACAATGAAATCTAAAACTGGTACTTTCCAAAACTGAAAAACCATTAACTAGAATGATCAAGAAAAAACAGAGAAGACCCAGATTACAAGAATCAGAAATGAAAGAGAAGAAAATACTACACTCTTCCAAAAACAAAAAAGGATTCAAAGAGAATACTAAACAATTACACGCTAACCAATTATAAAGGCTAAATGAAATAGATAACTTTACAGAAAGGTAAAACCACGGAAAGTAACCCAAAAAAAGTATAGCATATCAATAAACTTACAATAAGCAAAGAGATTTAGTAATAAAAATGTGTTCCACAAAATAAGTACATGAGTAGATTGCTTTACCAGTGACTTTACCAAATGTTTACAGAATAATGAACACCAATCCTTCTGCAACTGTTCCAAAAGAGAAGGGGAAAATTCTTAACATGTTCTATGTGGCTAATATTACCCAGTCTAAATCCAGTCAAAGATATGACAAAAAAAGAAAAATACAGATCAATATGCCTTAGGAATACAGACCCCAAATTCCTTCATGAAGTACTAGCAAATGGAATTCAGCAACATATACAAAGAAATATACATTATGACCAATTGGGACATATATTAGTTCTGCAAGGTTGGTTTTAAAATAGAAAACCACTAAATGCAATATACAATATTAATAGAATATAAGACAAATTACACATATAAACAGCTTCATTGACAGCATTTGAAAACATTCAACACATTTTATAAAAAACAAAACAAAAAAAACACTCAACAAACCAGAAACAGGAGGGAATGTCCAAAATCTGGTAAAGTGTCCCATGAAAAATCTACAGCTAACATCATACTTTATGGTGAAAGACTGCTTGATTTTCTTTTAAGCTCAGGAACAAGACAAGCATATTTAGTCTGTCATTTCTAAGTTCAACATTGTACTGGAAGTTGTTGGGATAATTAAACATAAAACAGAAAAAAACGTATCAATATTGGACAGGTAGGAGCAAAATTGTCTCCATTATCAGATATTAAAAATCCTAAGGAATCGACCAAAAATTATTATAACTAATAAATAAGTTTACTGATGTTGAAAAATACATCATCAATATACAAAAATCAGTGCTGTCTCTATACACTAGCAAAGAACAATCTGAAAATGGCATGAAGACAATTCCATTTCTAATAACATAAAAAGATTCAAATTCTTAAGAATAGATTCTAAGAAGTACAAGTATACATAGGAAACAATAAAATATTATTGAAAGAAATTAAAGAAGATTCAATAAAATCTCTATTAAAGTTATGGCTGCCATTTTCTTCAGAAAGTAACAAGCTGATACTAAAATTCATATGGAAGTACAAGGATCCCAGTTTAGCAAAACAATGATGGAACAAAAAAATAAGTTGGATTCATATTTCCTGACTTCAAACTTACCAAAAGCTACAATAAGAGGGTGTGGTATTAGAATAAAGATAAATAGAATAGAGGGTCTAGAAATCCTTACAAGTTTGTCTAATTCATGTTAAAGTTACCAAGATAATTTAATATGGAAAGAATAGTATTTTTAAGAAATTATCCTGAGACAACTGGATATTCATGTGTAGAAGAATGAGGCTAGACCTTTACCTCACACCACACACATAAAAATTAACTAACTCAAAATGGATTATATCTCAATATAAGAGCTAAAAATATAAAGTTTATAGAAGAAAATACAGAAATAAAATTATTGTAATCTTCAGTTAGACAACAATTTCTTAGCTATGATATGAAAAGCAAAAGTGGCAAAAGAAAATGAGTCAATTGGTTGTCCTCAAAATTAAAATTGTTTGTGCCTGAAAGGACACCATGAAGAAAAAGATAACTCACATAATGGAAGAAAATATTTGCAAATCATATTTGATAATTGGCTTGTATCCAAAATATATAAAATTTCTTACAACTAAGATAAAAGGTACATAACTTCCATTCCCAAATGAGCAAATGATATGAGGAGATATTCTCCCAAAAAGAGATACACGAGGTCAGAAAGCACATGTTAAGATGAGCTGTATTATTAGTCCTTAGGGAGATGAAAATCAAATGTGCATTGAAATACCATTTCACACCTACTAGAAGGGTTAAAAAGACAAACATCAACAAATATTGGCAAGATGTGGAGAAGTTGACACTCTCATACACTGCTGGTGGTACTGCAAAAATTATACATTCACTTTGGAAAAGAGTTTGGAAGTTCCTCTAAAAGTTAAGCACAGAGTTACTCTATGATCCAGCAATTCTACTCTAGTTTTATATGAAAAATAATTGAAAATATATGTCTGGACATGTATTGCACATGTTTATAGCAGCGTTATTCATAATAGTCAAAAAGTTGTAATAATCAACATGTTTATCAGCTGAAAAATAAACAAATTTGCTGTAACTTTATGATGTAATGTTATCTGGCCATAAAAAAGAAACAAAGTCCTTATAACTGCTATGACATAAGTCTTGAAAATATTATGCTAAGTCAAACAAACCAGTCACCAAAAAACATATATTGCATGATTCCATTTATATGAAATGTCCAGAACAGACAAATCCTAGAGATAGAAAGTCGATTAGGGGGACTTTATTTATTTCAAGGGGGAAGAAGGAAATGGGGAGAGGCTATGGTAATGGTATGAGTTCCTTTGGAATAATAAAAGTATTCTAACATTAGATAGTGGTGATCCTTGTACTTCTCTACGAATCTACTAAATCTATAGTAGTTCTCTCCTTTTCCATGGTTTTGCTTTCTGGTTTCAGTTACCAGCAGTCAACCATGCTCTAAAAATAGATGAATATAGTATAATAAGATATTTTGAGAGAGAGAGAGAGAGAGAGACCACATTGACACACTTTTATTACAGTATGTTATGATTTTTCTATTTAATTAGTAGTTATTGTTGTTAATCTCTTAATGTGCCTAACTTATATTTAAACTTCACCATAGTTATATATAGAAAAATACATAATTTATATATAGATGGTCCCCAACTGGTTTGACGTGATGTCTTGTCTTTACAATGGGATAAAAGCAATTTACATTAAGTAGAAACTACACTTCAAGTACGCTTACAACAATTATGTTTTTTTGCTTTCAGTGGAGTATTCAATAAATTACATGAGATATTCAATAATTTATTATAAAATAGGAATTGTGTTTTTCTCCACCGGTAAGTTAATGTAGGTTCTGAGCATGTTTAAGGGAGGCTAGGATAAGCTATGATATTCAGTAAGTATATTAAATACTTACAAGTACATTTCCAACTTACAATTTTTGTCAATATACAATGGGTTTATCAGAAAAATAACCCTATTGTAAGTTAAGGGATATGTGTAACCCTGTATAGAGTTCGGTGCTATCTTTGATTTTCAGACATCCACTGGGGGTCTTGGAACATATCTCCCTTGGAATAGTAAAGGGGGACTATTGTACTGAATTGTACACCTAAAAAGGTGAATTGTATGGTGTGTTAATTATGTCTCAATAAAATTATTATTTAGAAAGATAACTAGGTAAGGAAATTCCTAAGTTGTAAGTCATCCTATTTATATGCAACATATGGAATACATACATTATGCTCATCTCATTAATATAGCATATTTAGTGACTGCTCTTTTCTCTTTACAATCTAGAAAAGCCAATATGAATATAATGTTCATATTAATACATTATCTTTATAATCACAAAGGAGAAGCACATTCAGAAAATCTGATTCAGCTAAACTTTAAATTTTATAGCCAGATAAAATGCAACAAATATCTGAAATATGAAAATAAATAAAGCAAATAATATATCAAAAATCTTAGGAATGATGAAATGACTAAGAGTTTGTCTTAATTTAGGTAACAAAATCTCCTGAAACATTTATACATTTAAATCACTAGGAGTTCACAATAAGCCATGTCAGGGTTATCTAGAAAGACTGATTATGTATCATGAATATTAAAGTATTTTGAATTAAGCCTTGTAGATGTTGCTTATTTTGTTTTCAATTTTTATGACGTCTATATCAAATGCGATACTTTTATTTAAATAAAATTAATACCATGTTGGACAATAAATTAATATTTGAGTCCTCTCATTTTGTTGGGATATATAAGAATATTTTGAACCAATAGGTGGACAAACATAAGTGATGTATTTCATACACACACACACACACACATACACACGTGTATTTAACTCATATGTATAAGACATTGTTTTGGGAAGGAGCAAAGTAGCTTCTGATAGCCAGGATATTCAGGAGCTAGCCATATAGTATAAAGCAGGTTTAGAGCTAGGTGTAAGTGTTCTTCTGATGACCATTTCAACAATTTCATAGAACATCAGTATCAGACATGGCTAATCTATGCAAATGAGAGATCACAAAAACTAGGCTAACTTATAATCATATCAAATAGAGACAAAACCAGGAACATCACCCAAACAAAAGACTAACAAAACAATCCCCTGTCATGGCTAATATAAGTAATTGCTACCTCTTTTGAAAACATTGGCTTTCACTTCTTTCTTGTCTTTTCCTCCATCCTCCTAGGTAAGACTTACCATAAACCTAATAATAAAATTCTGCTCCCTTCTTGACAACTTATCCAGAGCAAAGACCCACTCTTTGAAACCATCCCCCAAAATACAAGTAGCAAGCTCAAGTCGGTAAGTCCTTTCTAACATCCTTTTATTTAGATATCCCTGTGGATCTACATGATGTGTTTTCTCCCTTGTTGCAATGAGTTATAAACCCAACTTTTGCAACCCTAGGTGTGTTCCCAGTGGTGTTTGTCTGGTGACTGCCAACAGCATCAACACACACATACAGAAACGCATATACAAGTTATCTTAAGAAATTATAGGAAGAGCTAAATGCCAAAAAAAGGATATATCAGAGTCTCAATGAAAGAAATACTAGAAAATTTATAGTACATATTATAGGTTATAATTAATTAATGTAAGAAAAATAAAACAGATAACAATTAATATTATGTTTTTAGTTCATCAAAAGTTTATTATTTCTCCTAATATACAGGTGGAAAGGTTATTAATATCAATTTGTGTTCATACATCAACTTACTAATTGCTAATGTCACAAAAATGTCTCTGGGTCTTTTTATTTTTATATATCTTTAACTAATCCTAACTACTGGCATTGTGAGTTTTCCTATATTACCAAAATTATTTATTTATCTTTTTTTTGTCACATAGTATCTATGCCATTATTGCCAGCTATTGTGGAATTCAATTTAATAAAGCAAACTGCCTACTGTTGAACAGTCTGCACCTTATAACCCACTTTAATCACCAAAAAATTAGAAACATTTGTGAAAAGTTTTACAGGCATGAGATAATCCAGAATTCTCAACCTTAATCACAAGGCAAAAGAGAATGTATGATTTATTTTGGAGGACATTCTGAAATAATTTTAACATTTTCCTTTGTAAAATAATCATCTGAGTGTGTTTGTATGCAATTCATCTGCTTCTGAACAAGAAAAGGATTTAGTTATGATATACTTGATTATGCATCTACATAAGAGATGCAATGTATGCCAAACAAATCTAGGATTAAAAATTATTTACCAAGGGCAGGGCATGGTGGCTCATGCCTATAATCTGAGCACTTTGGGAGGCTGAGGCGGGCAGGTCACTTGAGATCAGGAGTTCGAGACCAGCCTGGCTAACATGGTGAAACTCCATCTCTACTACAAATACAAAAATTATCCAGGCATGGTGTCAGGCACCTGTAATCCTAGCTACTCGGAGGCTGAGGCAGGAGAATTACTTGAACCCAGGAGGTGGAGGTTGCAGTGAGCCAAGATCATGCCACTGCACTCCAGCCTGGAAAACAGAGTGAGAGTCTGCCTCAAAAAAAAAATTTACAAATATATACGTGGTTATTAAGCTTTTGGAATAATAGCAATAGCTACTAAGAATTTCTTTTTCATGTGTATGCATCATTTTAGATTTAGGGAGTACATGTGCAACTGTTACATGGATATACTGCATGATGCTGGAGTTTGGGGTACAAATGATCCCATCACCCAGGTAGTGAGCATAGTATCCAACAGTCAGTTTTTCAACCCATACTTACCTCCTTCCCTTCCCACTCTAGAATTCCCCAGTGTTTATTACTGCCCTCTTTATGTCCACGAGTACCCAGTGTTTAGCTTCCACTTATAAGTGAGAACATATGATATTTGGTTTTATGTTTCTGTATTAATTCACCTAGAATAATGGCCTCAAGCTACATCCATGTTGCTGCAAAGAACATGACTTTGTTCTTCTTCATGGCTGCATAGTAGTCCATGGTGTATATGAACCACATTTTCTTTATGCAATCCCATGTTGATGGGAACCTAGGTTAGTTCTATGTCTTTGCTATGGTGAGTAGCGCTGAGATGACTACATGAGTGCATGTATCTTTTTGGTAGAATGATTTATTTACTTTTGGATATAAGCCCAGTAATGGGATTGGTGGGTGAAATGGTAGTTCTATGTTAAGTTTTTGAGAAATCTCCAAACTGCTCTCCACAGTAGCTGAACTAATTTATATCCCAACAACAGTGTTTAAACGTTCTCTTTTCTCCAATGCCTTATCAGCATCTGTTGGTTTTTTAACTTTTTAATAATAACAATGCTGATGTGTGTGAGATGTTGTCTCATTGCGGTTTTGATTTGGATTTCTCTGATTAATGATGTTGAGCATTTTTTTCATATGTTTATGGGGCACTTGTTAAATGCGTATCTCAAAATGTCAGAAAGATATCAAACTAATGATCCAATATCATACTTGGAAAACCAGAAACATAAGAGCAAACTAATTCCAAACCTAGCAAAAGAAAAGAACTAAAATCAGAGCAGAACTGAACAAAATTAAGACCCCAAAATCCAGGGAAATAATCAACTTAACCAGAAGTTGGTTTTTTGAAAGCATAAACAAGATTGATAAACCACTGTCTACATTAACAAAGAAAAAACGACAGAAGATCCAAATAAGTACAGTCAGAGATGACAAAGGTGACATTACAACTGATCTCACAGAAGTAGAATGATTCTGAGAGACCCTTATGAACACCTCCATACACATAAACTAGAAAATCTAAAGGAAATGGGTAAATACCTGGTAACACACCACCTCTCAAGATTGAATGAGAAAAAAATTGAAATCCTGAAAACACCAAGTTTTGAAATTGAATCAGTAATTTTAAAAAAACAACCTACCAACTAAATAAAGCCCCAGACCAGATGGATTCACGCCAAATTTTACTAGATGTAAAAAGAAAAGCTGGTACCCATTCTACTGTAACTCTTCCAAAAAAAAAAAAAAAACAAAAATGAAGTCGAAGGAACTCCTCCCTAATTCACTCTATGAACCAGTATTATCGAGATACCAAAACCTGGAAAAGATACAACACAAAAAGAAAACTACAGGCCAATACACCTTATGACCCTCAACAAAATACTAGGAAGCCTAATATGGCAGCACATCAAAAAGTTAATTCTCCAACTAAGCTTCATTCCTGGGATGAAACTGTTTCACCAAACACAAATCAATAAATGTGATTCACTGCATAAACAGAATTAAAAACAAAAAACACATGATGATCCCAATAGAAGTGGAAAATTCTGCTATGAAATTCAACATCATGCTAAAAATCCTAAATAGACTAGGTATCTAAGAAACATATCTCAAAATAATAAGAGCCATCTATGGTAAACCCACAGCCAACATCATACTAAATGGGCAAAGTCTACAAGCATTCCCCTGGAGGACTGGAACAAGCCCAGCCTCACAACTTCTATTCAACACAGTACCGGAAGTCCGAGCCAGAGCTATCAGGCAAGAGAAATAAATAAAAGGTATCCAAAAAGGAACAAAATAAGTCAAACTATCTCTCCTTACTGGTGATATGATTCTACACCTAGAAGATGCTGAAGACTCCACCAAAAGGCTCAAAGTTTCAGGACACAAAATCGATGTATACAAATCAGTAACATTTCTATGCACCAATAACATTCAAGCTGAGAGCCAAATCCAGAATCCATTTACAATATGAAATCTCATTTACAATAGCACACACACCAAAAACAAAAAACAAACAAACAAACAAAAAAGCAAGGAATACATCTAATCAAGGATGTGAAAGATCTGTACAAGGAGAACTACAAAACACTGCTAAAAGCAATCAGTAATGACACAAACAAATGAAAAAATACCCCGTGTTCATGGCTTGGAAGAATCCATATCATTAAAATGGACATAATGCCCAAAGCATGCACAGATTCAACGTATCAACCTACGAATGTCATTTTTCACAGAATTAGAGAAAAACTATACTAAAATGTACGTAGAGTGAAGAAAGAGATTGAATAACTAAAGCAATCTTAGAGAGGAAATAAAAAAAGATGGAGGCATCATGTTACCTGACTTCAAACTATACGTAAGTCTACAGTAACCAAAAACAGCATGGCAGCATTGCACTGGTAAAACAACAACAATAACAGACACACAGATCAGTGGAACAGAATAGCAAAACCAGAAATAAAGCAACATACTGACAGCCATTTAATATTTGATAAATCAACAAAAATAAGCAATAAGGGAAGGACCCCCTATTCAATAAATGGTGCTGGGAAAATTGGCTGTCCATATGCAGAGGACTGAAACTGGACCCTTACCTTTTACTATACACAGAAAAGTAACCCAGGATGGACTAAATATATAAATATAAGACCTCTGACTATAAGAATCCTAAAAGAAAACCTAGAAAACACCATTCTGGACATCAGCCTTGATAAATAATTTATGAGTGAGTCCACAAAAGCAACTACAACAAAACCAAAAATTGACAAGTAAGATTAAGCTAAAGAGCTTCTGCATAGCAAAGGAAACTATCAACAGAGTAAACAGACAACTGACAGAATGGGAAAAATAAAGTGGAGTATTCTCCCAATGTGATAGTCTGAAATATAGTCTGAAACCAGGGGCACAATGCACTGTGGAAAGCCGTAGGGACCTCTGCCCTTGAAAGCGGGGTATTGTCCAAGGTTTCTCCCCATATGATAGTCTGAAATATGGCCTCCTGGGATGAGAAAGACCTGACCGTCCCCCAGCCCAACACCCTTAAAGGGTCTGTGCTGAGGAGGATTAGTAAAAGAGGAAAGCATCTTGCAGCTGAGATAGAGGAAGGCCACTGTCTCCTGCCTGTCCCTGGGAACTGAATGTCTCGGTATAAAACCCGATTGTACATTTGTTCAATTCTGAGATCAGAGAAAAACCGCCCTATGGTGGGAGGCGAGACATGTTTGCAGCAATGCTGCCTTGTTATTCTTTACTCCACTGACATGTTTGGGTGGAGAGAAACATAAATCTGGCTTATGTGCATGTCCAGTCATAGTACCTTCCCTTGAACTTAATTATGACATAGATTCTATTGTTCACATATTTGTTGCTGACCTTCTCCTTATTATCACCCTGCCCTCCTACTACATTCCTTTTTGCTGAAATAATGAAGATAATAATCAATAAAAGCTGAGGGAACTCAGAGGCCGGTGCAGGTCCTTGGTATGCTGAGTGCCGGTCCCCTGGGCCCACTGTTGTTTCTCTATTAAAAAAAAAAAAAAAAAAAAAGAATGGGAAAAATAGTCACGATCTATGCATCCAATAAAGGTGTGATATGCTGAATCTATAAGGAACTTATTCAACAAGCAAAAAACAACTCCATTAAAAGGTGGGCATAATACATAAACACCTACTCAGAATTTCTATTTGGAGTTTCTTCAGAATTCTCATCTAAGAACTAATTAATACAATTGAATTATGGAATATGTGGAAAATTTATACTATAAAATATATCAAAAATTTTACTAAAATAATCCAAAATCACAATAATCTCTAAGTAAAAAATTGGAAGTTTTAATTTAGCGGACTCACTCCTTTCTTGTCAGAGTGTGGTAGTTCTCATACTGCATGGAAAGGTCCAAAACAATGTTAAGATGGCAAAAACATGTTTTGAAGAAGTAAATGCATTTGTATCATTACCATATTGGAACATTGCATTTTCAAGTTAAAATTTGTTTATACTTTGTTGACATCTGCCCTTCAGTGTTTTCAAATTTCAAATGATTGCGACACCATCTTGTCAGTAAATGGCTCTTCATTGCTGGATGGTTATTTTAATTAAATGTATCTAAAGTGAAAATAATGTCTGGATGTATCCCAAGGACACTGAGCACTCCAAGTAATTTCATGAAGAAAGCTAAAAATATGTTACTCACCGATAGCTTTTGTAAAGGTCAGTACAGGTGGAATTGTTCTTGCAAGGATTCATTTTACACTCATTGGATTCTTGTTCACAAAAATTTCCTTCCCAATCAGATAGGCACACACACTGGTAGCTCTAAGAGAATATGAAATTATATATTTTTAGGCTATTTCTTACTATTAAGCCTATAATACAGATATTACTCCTGGCCATTTTGATATCTCTGTCAATTTATAATTTTTTTAGTTTTATAGAATGCCAATACTCCCCCCAAATGACTTTTACCACATTTTTAAAAGCGTGTGAACAGTATTCTTTAGTATCTAATTAAATAAAGTTTTGTAGTAAGTCAATAGATTCTACAGAAGGTATTAAAGATTTATGCATTATGCTCACAATGTAGAATTATCATCTTTGTTAAATGTTTTAAAAGAAAAATAGCATGTTAGTCATATGATGGTAGATGATGGAGTATAACTAAATAACTAATTAAACAACTCAGCAACTAGCTCACAAGTTAAAAATACAAGTATAAATAAGGAAACTTTTGACAGATTTATTGTTACAGATAAATATTTAAAATAAATTAACAGACTTTTGGTCAATTAAAATCGTAAAACTTTTCATGGTGTTTTTCTGAAACAGAGAGTTGCCCTATGACAATGTAATTCAGAATGCTAGAGGTAAAATTTTGCTTTCCTAGTATTGGGCAAACAAACAAACAAAAGAAACACTTTAAATTACTCTGTGAAAATACTTTCTATATGAAAAATATTTTTGAAGAATAGAGCTCTTGTCAAAATTAGATTTTGGGCTTTTGTCTGTAGAGAATCTAGATATAGCATTATAAAAACGGTAAAATCAATGTTAACTGTTATTTAAATCTGCACTTTTCAATACAGTAGCCACATGTGGCTATAAAACATTGAAACATGGCTAGTACCATTTAAGATGTGCTATAAATATAAAATACATATTGAATGTTGAAAAGTTAGTATTAAAAAAGGAATGCCAAGTATCTCACTAAAATTTTTTATTATTTACTTTCGGTTGAAATGGAAATAATTTTGATATAAAGAGTTAAATGAAACGTACGATTTCAATTAATTTCATTTATTTCCATAGCTTTTTGTAGTGGCTACTAGAAAAGTTAAAACACAAACAGAGATCTCTTTTAATTTCTACTGAACAGAGGTGAGAGTTGAGTTAGATAATGCCAGCCCAGTTTCTCCATTTGTGGATAGAGTTAAGAAGTCTATATACTTATAAGCACAATGTGATGAGTAGGAGCCCTGAGATTACAGAACGCATCTTAGTTTAATACATCTCAACATCCTGTACAGATCTAGCACCCTATGTTTAATTAATGTTGATTAAATAAACAGAAAAAACAAACATGATATGACCAATAATTTAAAGGTTGAAGTTAGTAGCCAAAACAAAATTCAAAATGATCCTTCATCACTTTGGTACATTTGGACAGCAAATTTTTTTTACAAACATAACAATGAAACATGATAACCAGAAGAAAAATAAATGCATGCTCCATGTATGTGCATTTAGTTTACAACAGTTTAAATGTATAAGAAGTTCTACTCAGTACTGTGCTTTGGTTGAACAGGGCCAATTGGTTTTCCATGCTAGGTATTAATAACTAGCTTAAAAGCACAAGAATGAGAGCCACCTTTTCAACATTGTGCTTTATTCTTGACACATATACTAGTCTCCACTCAGAATAATCTTTAAGGGTACTCCAGTTTTGCTGGATTTTAGCAGATTTTTTTTTCACATACCATGCTCCCTACATTGTTAACTTCCTCCATGAGTGTGGTAACATTTACAGTTTTCATTGGTTGCGTTTGGCTTATTTTTTCTTTTTTTTTTTTTTTGTAAACATTAAAAGAGGACTTACATAAAAATTGAATATAATGATTATATTTTGTTTTATGAATGTGCTATTTAAAATGAAAGCAATTCCACAATAGTCAAGACAACATCAGCTGTGGTGAATGGGAGAAAATCATCCCACTCAGTAGCATAAATGGCATATGCATAAAATCTTCGGGACATGCCCATTCGTTATGTTCTGAAATTTCTCATATTATGGGGTATAAATTATTTATGTAAAGACAAATGCATAAGCACACTGCTGATTTTTATTTTGATGCCTCAATAATATTTTGAAACAAATTTAGTGAGTCAAAAATTCAGTCAAATTTTTCCTATTAAATTCATATATTTCTTAAAAGCTAATAACTATTGGTATTTTCAATAACTTGATAATTAGTAGAAAATTGTCAATTTCAGGGTATCATTATCATTAAAGTATCAGGTACTATAGCAGTGAATTCCAGATATGATGAACTATATACAAAAAGAAAACATAAAAGGATGAAGAAAATATAATTTAAAAAATTAAAATTTAAAGATGTAAATGATGAAGAGAACAAAAGTGCATAGCAACTAAAAATAACCCAGAGTTTGAGAATTTTTATTCATCAGTATCTTACTTGATTCAAAAGCATTTTCCTCAATTTAGACATTCTTGCTGCAAAGCAGTTTCTCATTCAACATTGAATAATTGATTCCAGTAATTTAAAATAACTGTTCCTTAAATTTGCACTGGTCAATACAGTGGCCAGAATAGTATTAAATAATATTAAATATTGTATTTAATATTATTAAATATTAAATATTAATAACTATTAAATATTTTAATATTAATTATAAAAATAGAAATTATATTCCACTAGAAAACTGAAATATAATTAATATTAATATTTAATATTTTAATATTAAATATTAAGTAATTATTAAATATTAAATAATATTAAATAATAGTAAATACTAGTATTAAATAGTATTAAATAGTATTAAAGTAAAATACTATTTTTAAAAGCACATTTTCAGCCAATTTTGATGGAAAAGGAAAGTATTATTAAAATGTGTTTACCAAAAGGAGTAAAGGTTTACATTATTTATTAAATTAGAATCTTATCATTTTTTAACTTCTCACTACAAAGTAGACATTACTCTTCCTACTAAACTTGGATAAAACAGTAGTTTGAAAATATGCATGTGACAGGAAAGACAGATGATAAAAACACAGGTCTACAATATTGAACTCTGCAGCCAGTGAGAAAAAAATAAAGACAAAGCTGTCAAGTTTGATAGTTGTAAATGCATAAACTATATAGTAGTTCACTTTTTCAGATCAACAGCCAGATATTTTAAATTTTTCTTATCAGTAACAGATGTACTAAAGTAAGATGGATAGCATAATTGTGAACATGAATTTTCAAGTTAGAGAGATTAAACAATATCTCTGATGCTTATTAAATCTCTAGACATCTAGTATATTAGTTTTCTCTTACTGCCTAAAAGATTACTACAAGTTTCGTGTCTTAAAACAACATAAATGTATTGTCTCACAGTTTCAATAAGTCAGTGTACAAGAGTCAGTCACCTAAATCCTTTGCTTTCGGTCTCACCATGCTGAAATCAAGGTATTGACTGGGATGTGATCTCACCTAGGAAATGGAGTTCTCTTCCAAGTTCAATGATTGTAGCAGAATTCATTTCATTCTGCCTCTAGGACTCAGATCTCATTTTCTTGCTAGCTACCAGGTAAAGACTACTCTCAGCGTTTAGAAGGTATTTGCAGGTCCTTGACACATGGCCTCCTCCTCTCACAGCATGCCAGTTTGTTTTTTTAAGGACAACAGGAGAATCTCTGCTGTTACCTCTTGTTTTGTTAAAGGCCCATTTAATTAGGGCAGCCCATGTAGGACAACCACATGTTTGATTAAATAAAAGTCACTTATTGGGGGTGTTAATAACACTGTAAAATCTCTTTCTACATATAATATAATCATGGAAGAAGTATCATATTTACAGGTTTCACTCACACCCAAGGGGAGATTTTACAGGGCATATACACCAGGAGATGGGAATCTCGAGGATCATCTTAAAATTTTGCCTTTAATATCTACTAATCTACTTAATCTTTCCAAGTAACCTACTCAAGTTCTCCAAGCCTCAGGTGCCTTCATATGTAAAGTACTAACAATTTATACTTCATAAATATACTTAAGCCTTGAAGGTAGTAATAACTATAATATTCTTAGCCTAGCGACAAATAATTATCATTAATTAGTAGTAGCCATTACCTCTAGGCAAAACAGTCTAGATCTAACAACGTCAAAGAATAATTGACAGAAGTACCACGATTGGCTCAAACCTATTCATCAATACATTACTTATTTTTATAAACATTTAAGCCATGTAATAAGAGATAACCAGACTAGGAAAAACAAAGAAGGAGGAAGAGCAAGAGAATCCAGCAATATGTAATTTATGAACACAGACTTACATGAAGTGGATTAATATAAGAAAATATAAATGAGGAAAATGTATTCAAGATGAAATAGAAAATCACACTAAACCAGTAGACATTTAAAAATATACCAAAGGAGGGAGATTTGCTAACATAGACTCAAACAAAATTACTCCCAAGTCTTTATTTATTCTCTTATGCCACATAGGTGAAGAGAATAGAAAAACAGGAAAAACTACTCAAATTATTTTTTGAGACTATCAAAACCTAGCTACCAAATTCTAGCAAGCATATAACAACAAATAGAAATTTAGCCAATGTTTTTAGGATCAAAAAGTCAATTTTTTTCAAAAAAACATAAATTTAGATAGTCGAAAACAGTAATGTATTTAAAATACATTATATAGTTTGAGCTGGAAATATGCCAGAAATGGAAATATGCCTCAACACAAGAAAATCTTTTAGAGAAAGAAAAATGGTTTTATCATTTCAGAGCAGAAAAATATTTTATAAAATTCAATACACATTCTAAAAATTTCTTTTAGCAAATGAAAACAAAATGGGAATGTACTTACATTAACAACAACTACCTACAAAATGATTTAAAAAAACCCTGCCAAACATCAGTTTATCAAAAACAAATGTAGAAACTGAATAAAAAATATATACACATATACATATACATATATATATATATATATATATATATATATATATATTGTTGAATTGTTACAAGAACAACTGAAGTTGACTAGATCTTCTAAAGCTAAAGAGATAAGAAGCAAGCAAAGTTAAGACTACAGAGGGCTCTGCTTTTCAAACCAGGACATCTGCCCATTTGCTTCCAGATAAGTAGTTGCATCTAGATAAGCAGAAAGTAGTAGCTGGAGTTTGCAGCAGCTTCTTTGAATGAAAAGAAAACACTAGCATTCAGCTTGGTCAAGGAGATTAGGTCCGTGAAGAGAAGAACAGAGAAGTGAGCCCACAATTTGATCAGCCCTATTCTATAGAGGCACTTGTTCCCTTTCAACCTTGTATTTATAGTATGAAATTACACAGAAGTAAAGCATTAGCAGTCTAGTAGTGCAAGGAAGATAAAAGTTGGAGTTTAGGGCCAGCAATATCTTACAGTCTTGTTAAACACTTCTAGCTTTCAATGAACACAACAGAGGGGCATATCTTGAAGAAAAACCAGCAAAAAAACAAAAACAAAAACAGCTTTAACGGCATGAAAACCATACTTGCCTAAAATGTGATCATGCATTCCTATTCTGTCTGCCAGAAAAATAAAAATAAAAAATCCTCTTTGGAAGATGTTAACATTAGATGGAGCTTTTCAAAGTTTGAAACAAATGTCTGCCATTCAATAAAAAAGTTTCTTAAATGCTGATTACCAAATGTCAAGAGACAAACTGACAGTAGAAATATACTATTGAGATACTGTGATTATTGGATAGAGATTTAAAAATACTTATGATGAATACATATAAAAATATAGAAGACAAATAGGGAATTCCACTAGAAAACTGAAATCTATAAAAGAGACAAAGAAAAACTCTGAGTTTGAAAATTATAACCTGAAATTTAATGACTTAATATATTATTTTAATAATAGACTTATTAGACAGAATTAATAAACTTGCTAGTAAAAGATATACAGATTGAAATATTTATATAAAGGATATAACAGTCATAAAAGAAAACGAAATATGGGAACTAATGAAAATAGCCATTATTTGTTTAATTGGAATATCAAAAACGAAGGTAGAGAAATTGGGCAAGAACAATATTTGAAAAATTGCTGCCTGAGAATTTTCAAAAGATGGCAAAAAGAGAGTGACCACAGATTTAGAAAGTTCTTGAGACCTATGCTGGATACATAAAAATAAAACTTTATCTAGATTAAAACTTCTGAAAATGAAAGACAAGGAGTAAATCATACAGGCAGCCAATGAACAAAGACATATTATCTTCAAAGGGACACAAAGATCACAACTTACTCCCCAGTATCAGAAGCAAGAACCCAGTGAGCCAACATCATAATGGAGTGAAAGAAAATAACTGCCAATTTAAACTTCTATACCCAGTAAAAATACACTTCAATTATGAAAGCAGAACAAACTCACTTTTTACAAAAACAAAACCTGAGAACTTACTGCAATGTTTAAGATTGTGGGAATTTGTTGACAGATGACCTGGATTTAAATTCAGGCTCTAAGAATTATGACTTATATAATTTTAAGCATGTTACTTAATTTCAAGGCACATCAGAAATAATGCTACCTGCCCAACGAGGGTATAAGAAGTACAGCACTGAGTATAGGACGTAGTGTAATATCTAACATAGTAAGACAACCATAAATTTTAACTAAAATGTTCTCATATACTGTGACTTGTCCAGGTAAGCTAAACTACTTCTCAGTCTCTGTGATGTTTGTTTCCTTTACTTTCTTCCACTTGGAATGACTTTGTCTACTTCCACCAATCCCTGACCATACTTTCCAAGTTTTATCCACCTGCAAATGTCAAAACAAGTGCCACATAGTACCTGAAGCTTTGATAATTTCCTTCAGCATACCTTCTCTTACTTACTGTTTTAGATTTTATGATACATTTAAAGCATGTTAGTTACTTATGTACATATAAGCTGTATTCTGCTTAGTGCTTATTGTATTTAAAAATATCTTAATTATATTATTGCGTATTTCTCTAGTTTCTAAAGTATAAATTCCAAGAGGGCAGAAACTTTCTTTACTTTGTTCAACAATTATCATCAATAATAACATCTGGAATAGTGTCTAATGTTTGACTGAATAGGTGCTAGAGATTGGAACATCTATAATGATATTCATTGGTACTAATATAGTCATGGAGGATATTTTATTTATCATTTCTAGATATTTAATAATCTTATTTTCCTAACAAGAAAAAGACTTTTTTAAAAGAATTCATTTAAATAATTATTTCATTACAATCAACCAAAAGCAGTTCTATAAATGAAGGATTAAAATCCCCATTGAAAGAAAACTTGGATTGCTTCCATTTTGAAAAGTTTTTATACATTAGAATTATTGTATTTTATTCAGTCTTAGCCACAATTTTTTACTAACATGTGTGCTTTGTGAAACTTTCTATTAGATTACTGAAAATGTAGATATATACTGAAAAAAATAGAAATTTCAAATTATAGTCTCTTTCTGATCATTATTTATGTAACTCTTGAAAGAAGGACAAATATTTTTCTTTGCTTTAATAAAAAAACTTTTGAAGTAAAATTTGTAATGAATTTAATCCTTGTAAAAATAAAGGGCTCTCCCTATTGACTTATTATCTCTTTTATTTAAATGTTATTTTAAGTTTTCACTTTAATTCATAAATACTTATAGAGTTGGCTATAGACACAAAGGTTTCCAAATACTGAATGCTGATACTCAGGATTATACATAAAAACACTAATCTTTATTTATAAAAACAAACAGAACTATCTTAATATGATTTCTTTCAGCAAGAGAAAATGATTTATCTTGGTGCTTTAAATCTAAAGTAAAATAATATGTATTATTCTGACAGAAAGTAAATGGAATATTTAGAAACAATTTCTATAAAAAGTTACAAACACTGAATTTGATTGAACATATTTTGAAATAAGGCAAAGAAAATACACTTTACAATGAGTGATACTTTCAAGGCAAAACTTGTAGAAAAACACAATTTCTTTTACTTGGGAAAATGTAATACAAATACATGAAGAATATGAAAAGTCACATGGTAGAGGAAGATAATATAGAGTATAAATCAAGCTATACTGGATTTTGAAAACATTTTCTAAAGAAAACATAAACCTCTAAGAAACTTAGTCATTGTTCCCATGTGATTATACTTTTCATTAGTAACAAAAAAAAAAGCAAATGGTCATTTTAGTGCCTAATATTCCAAATGAGAAAACAAACATTAAGTATAAATTTCCACTGGTTTTATTTCCTATATCTAGTAAATCTACTATCAAAATAACTTCAGCTGTTTGTCTACTATGCTATTTTCAATTTATAGTTTTTATTAGTAATCTTTACTTATAATTTAGTTCTCTTACGGCATGCCCTACCTTCATAAACCATTTGTGATCCTTTTTAAGGGTTCCTTTACCTTTAATGTCGGTTTAAAAAAAAAAAGAATTTAAAACTAGAATAAAGAAGTTTAGACTAACTGTAATAAACCATGGGAAAAAATAACTCATCTGTCATTGATGTGTACTGCTCAAACATATTTATTATGTTTTGAATATTATCTTCCTTATTGACTCAATTTGACAATTAGAGATATAGTCTAATACCCAAAGCTTTTTCCCTAGTACACAAATAATAAGAATATAGAAAATATAATCTTGTATGAGATGATCACATAAAGATGACAGTATATAAATGTAATTCTGCAACATATAGTTTTGGGGAGCATTACATGTTTTGGTCTGAGAGCCAAATGACAATAATAATGCAAGTACACCATGGACTAAAAATCACTTGTAAGTTTTGAACCACAAGTACAAAACTCATTTCCAGTATTATGACCTCAAAGAAAATTAGCAACTGAGGCAGAGCAAGATGGTGGAATAGAAAGCTTCGTCAATTTTTCCCCCACCCCTGGCAAGGGCACCAAATTAACAACTATATACACTGAAAACACCTTCATAAGAACCAAAAATCAGTACATACAAAAATCAGTAGTATTTCTATATGCCAAAAGTGAACAAACTGAAAAACAAATCAAAAACATAGGCTAGGCATGGTGGCTCACACCTGTAATCCCAGAACTTTGGAAGGCTGAGGCAGGTAGATCACCTGAGATCAGGAGTTCAAGACTAGCCTGGCCAATATGGTGAAACCATTTCTCTACCAAAAATACAATACAAAACAAAAAATTAGCCGGGCATGGTGGCAGGCACCTGTAGTCCCAGCTACTCAGGATGCTGAGGCAGGAGAAACACTTGAACCTGGGAGGCGGAGGCAGCAGTGAGCAGTAATTGTGTCACTGCACTCCAGTCCAGCCTAGGTGACAGAGTGAGACTCTGTCTCAAAAAACAAACAACCAACAAAAAAAAAATCTTAATTCCATTTACAATAGCCAAAAATGAAATTAAATACCTAGGAATTAACCAGAGAAAGGAAAGATCACAATAATGAAAATATACGACACTGATGAAGGAAATTGAAGAGGACATCAAAAAAATGAAAAAAAAATTCCATATTCATGGATTAGAAGAATCGATATTGTTAAAACATCCATACTATTGGGAGAGGACATAGTTAGAGGCTGGCTACACACACAGAGAGGGAGAGTCTTGGGAGAGAGGCAGTGCGCATGGAAACACACTGGCACCACCCTTGTGGTGTAGTTAGCAGGAAAAAATATGGTTAAGAACTTCCTCTTATACCAGGATGTTTGCTCAGAAGGGATTTATTGTGCAAGCACAATAAATCAACTAAATGTCCTGAATATGACCCAGAGCTAATTGTAATATCATCGGCATTGCAGTTTTGGCTCCCTATCCCATGGGTTTTGCTTAGGCATTCTTGGGTAATAACTACGATGGAGTCACTATGGTCTACTCCAGATATGCATAGATGCAACGTCCCCGGGGGAGCGGGGGAACTTTACTCCTCCTATTAAGGCAGAACCTACGAAAGGCTTTCTTATTTTTCCCCACAGAAAAAATATCCCCAGCACTCAGAACCATTTCTGGCAACTCGCTTTGGGTCCCCTCTCACTGCTAATAATTTTTCTATTGCTTTACAAATTCTGCTCTGCCTTACTCACTCTCTGGTGTCCACATGCCTTATTCTTCTTTGTCCTCTGACAAGAACTCAGACCTCACTAAATTAAGGAATAGAGAAACTGCAATACTATGCAAAGCAGTCTACACATTCAGTGTAATCTCTATCAAAATATCAATGACATCCTTCACAGAAATAGAAAAAAAAAATTCCAAAATGTATATGAAACCACAAAAGACCCAGGATAGCCAAAGCTATCCTAAGCAAAAAGAATGAAATGGAAATAATTACATTACTTGACTTCAAATTATACTACAGTGCTATAGTAACCAAACAGCATGTTGCTGGCATAAAAACAGATACAGACCAATGGAACAGATTAGAGAACCCAAAAACAAATCCACACACCTACAGTGAACTCATTTTTGGTAAAGGTGTCAAGAACATGCACTGGAGAAAAGACAGTTTGTTCAATAAATGGTGCTGGGAAAGCTGGATATCCATAGACAAAAGAATGAAACTGGATGCCTATCTCTCATCATGTACAAAAGTCAAATCAAAATGGATTAGATAATTAAATCTAAGACCTCAGACTATGTAACTACCACAGAAAACTGGGGAAAATCTCCAGGACATTGGTCAAATATTTCTTGAGCAATAACCACAAGCACAGGCAACCAAAGCAAAAATGGACAAATGACATCACATCAAGTTAAAAAGCTCCTGCACAGCAAGGGAAACAATCAACAAAGTAAAGAGACAATCCACAGAATGAGAGGAAAATTTTTGTAAATTACCAATCTGACAAGGGACTAATAACCAGAATATATAAGGATCTCAAACAATTTTATAGGAAAAAAACTCTAATAATCTGATCAATAAATGGGCAAAAAATTTCAACAGACATTTATCAAAAGAAGACACACAAATGGCAAACAGGCATATGAAAAGGTGCTTAACATCACTGATTATCAGAGAAATGCACATCAAACAATGAGAAATCATCTGACCCCAGTTAATATATCCAAAAGACGCAACAACAAATGCCGGTGAAGATGTGGAGAAAAGGGAATCCACTTATACTGTTGATGTGAATGTAAATCAGTACAGTCACTATGGAAAACAATTTGAGGTTCCTCAAAAAACTAAAAATAGAGCTATCAAATGATCCAGCAATCCCACTGCTGGGTATACACCCCCCAAATGAAAATCAGTATATCAAAGAGATATCTTCACTTCCATGTTTGTTGCAGCATTGTTCACAATAGCCAAGACTTGCAAGCAACCTAAGTGTCCATCAAAAGATAAATGGATTAAAAAAATGCAGTACACATGCACAATGGCGTACTATTGAGCCATTGAGAAGAATGAGATCCTGTCATTTGCAACAACATGGATGGAACTGGAGATTATTATGAAGTGAAATAAGCCAGGCACAGAAAGACAAATCAAATATTGCATGTTCTCACTTAGTTGTGAGACCTATAAATCAAAGCAATTGAATTCATGGACACAGAGAGTAGAAGGATGGTTACCAGAGGCTGGGAAGGGTAGTGGATGGTTTGGGAGATGTGGGAATGGTTAATGGATAAAAAAAAAAAATTAGGGAGAACGAATAAGATCTACTATTTGATGGCACAACAGGGTGCCTATAGTCAATAACAACTTAATTGTACATTTTGAAATAACTAAAATAGTGTAATTTGATTGTAATTTGTTGTGTAATTTGTAACACAACAGATGAATGCTTGAAGGGATGAAGACCTCATTCTCCATGATTTGATTATTTCACATTGCATGCCTGTATCAAAACATCTCATGCATACCATAAATATATACACCTATTATGTACCCGCAAATATAAAAATAAAAATAAATGCAACCTCCTTCATCAAAAAAAATTAGTGCCTGTAAAAGTGGAAAAATCGTCTAGGCTTTTTCACAGCAAAACAGAGACAAATACCAAACAAATAATATGGTATTTGCTTATTGTTTTTAAATATTTTCAATACCTACTTAAATAGTTCATTTAATCACCTGGTAAAATAAAATAAAATGACCAATATGAGATAATATAAAGAAACGTTCAACTGTATTTTAGCCTATTTGACAGTTTTATGTTCTGTAAAACTTCTAATATTTTACATTTATTAGGATTTTTTTCTGTAAAATGGTTTTAAGTTTGAACTGAAAGCATTTTTATGTAATTCTGTATATATATCACACATAAAATATATTTGTATAATTATACATACACAATGTATTACATATAATTATAAATATACCTAGTATATATAATAACATACGTATATACCATATGTTGTGTGTATATGTATATAACATCAAATTTTGGCTGGGTGCGGTGGCTCAGGCCTCTAATCCTAGTTGTTCGGGAGGCTGAGACATGAGAGTCGCCTGAGTCCGGGAGGCAGCGGTTGCAGTGAGCGAAAATCGCGCCACTGCACTCCAGCCTGGGTGACAGAGTGAGACTCCATCTCAAAAACTAAACAAAACAAAACAAACAAATTTAATGTCATCTGAATCTAAACCTCACTTTCACAGAGATTAAGAAACAATCTTCAGGCCGGGCGCGGTGGCTCACGCCTGTAATCCCAGCACTTTGGGAGGCCGAGGCGGGTGGATCACGAGGTCAGGAGATCGAGACCACGGTGAAACCCCGTCTCTACTAAAAATACAAAAAATTAGCCGGGCGCAGTGGCGGGCGCCTGTAGTCCCAGCTACTCGGGAGGCTGAGGCAGGAGGATGGTGTGAACCCGGAAGGCGGAGCTTGCAGTGAGCGGAGATCGCGCCACAGCACTCCAGCCTGGGCGACAAAACGAGACTCCGTCTCAAAAAAAAAAAAAAAAAAAAAAAAAAAAAGAAACAATCTTCAGCAAATATACATACTGTAATCAAACTGTGGTGTTTCTTTACATTTTATATTTCATAAACATAATAATTTCTTGGCAATTGGTAAGAGGAATTCTGGAAACATTACAGTTAGACACACAATCATTGGAGTGTAAATAATATAAACTGGCTTCATATCCCAGGACCTTAACAATTATTGAATGACTTGTATATCTGTAGGTTATAGTTCCTTGATAAGAGGACTATTTTGTCTTATGGTTAGCCATTATGATTTTGTTGCTGGCTGATAGACTACCTGCTTTGCATTAGAAACCAGTAGGGGTAAGATGGGGGATATAAATACTCAGTCGTAGTTGTGGTAACCATGTAAGCGGCAGGTGAGAAGGGAGTAGAACAATGTAAGAATACTTAGAAAAAATGTGAGCTACAATTTCGAATATCCCTGTCATCATCAGCATGTTGGAATTCCATAATTCCTCAATAATAATTCCAAGAAGCAAATTTGCTGTAAAACTCATTAATTTATGAAAACAAGCCCTCCAATCTGTGTTTTGCATTGTAGAATGTGTTATTATTGACATAATCATTACTCCTCTCCTCAGAGTAATCAGGGATATCAGAAGCATAAGTGTTTTTTTCTTTTCCTTCATTATTCTTTATTTTTTGAATTCAGGAATGAAGGTTCTGTTGTCATTCTATCCACAGATACCATAAATATTTTCTACACACATTAAACCACTCATGATATTGACTTAATGTGAATGGAGACATGGGTAAAATGCCCTAGGCAGATGTCAGGGTATTTGATTCTGGTCCCAGATGCTATGACATGTAGGCTATTGAACATCTTATCCAATTGGTCATAACTGGTCTTAATTTTAAATCAACAAATTTGAACTCAGTGATTTTTTTTACTCTTTCAATTCTAAAATGATTATATTTTTATTGCCTTATTTATAGTTTCTAAAAGCACCAGATATTAACAAGAACTGTCTCTCTATTGTGCCAAGTATTCTGACCAGATGTCTAAGGTGTTCCTAGTGATTGGTTAATCCCTGAGTAACAAAACTATGTTGTAAAGTTTCAGCTGCAAACACAGTTAAGTAGTTCACGACTCAGGATTTTTTTTTTTTTTTTTTTTTTTTAAGAAGAACCACTGTTAAAGTTTGTCTTTGTTGCCAATCACTTACCACAGTGCATGGGCAAATGTGTGTTTAAAAACTTGCAGAGAGAAATTTGTATTACTGAGTCACAATGATTGATGTTTTACTTACCAAGCACATAAGTGATATTAGTCTTAATGCCTTTCAATTGAATAAAATCAATGGTAATTTTCAGGTATAGAAAAAAAGTGGAGTCTCTAAGGCTAAGTTTGACTTGTGATTTGAAGTTTACAAATAGTTTTCCAGATATTTTCTTAATCCTGTTAACAAATATTTATAATGAGAGGAAATTACTAATACCTTCTCATTATAAATATTAATATGAACAATAAAAGTAATCTTTGATTATGTAGAATATGTAAATAGTTACTTTATAGTCATATGTCATATAATCATTTTCTTGTAAAATAAGGGATAATTTTAAGCAACTGTCTTCAAATGTTAAGACAAAAATGATTTTGAAAGGATTTTTCCTTTTACCTTTTTAAATTGCTGTCAATAATTTTTTAACAATGTAGAACCTAGGTCACTGAATACAGTGTTTTGTATAACTTTGTTTTTTCCAATATATATTCCAAATTATTTATAGGTTTTCCTTTTCATTTTCTACTTTTAGAAGAGCCAATTGTGATTCAACTTATATCTACAATTCTGAGTCTGTTCCCAAAATCTTTGATGTCACAAAATAAATCCGTGCCATCTTACATTTGGCATTTCTATATTTTTCCTTCTTTTTAACTTTTATATTAAGTTCAGGGGTATATGTGCAGGTTTGTTCCATAGATAAACTTGTATTATGGTGGTTTCTTGTACAGAATATTCCATCATCAGGTATTAAGCCTAGTACCCATTAGTTATTTTTCCTGATCCTCTCCCTACTCCCTACTGCCACCCACCACCCTCTGATGGTCCCCAATGTGTGTTGTTCCCCTCTATGTGTCCATGTGGTCTCATCATTTAGCTCCCATTGACACATGAGAACATACAGTATTTGGTTTTCTGTTCCTGGGTTAGTTTGCTAAAGATAATGGCCTCCAGCTCCATCCATATCCCTGCAAAGACATGATTTATTTCTTCATTATGACTGCATAAACCATAGTGTATGTGTACCACATTTTCTTTATCCAGTCTATCACTGATGGTCATTTAGGTTGATTCCTTGTCTTTGCTATTGTGAATAGTACCAGAGTGAATATATGTGTGCATGTGCCTTTATAATAGAACAATTGATATTTATTTGGGTATATACCTAGGAATGGGATTGCAGGGTTGAATAGTGGTTCTGTCATTACATCATTGAGGAATCATCACACTGTCTTCCACAGTGGTTGAACTAATTGACTTTGATTATGGAATGTAGCCCTTTAAAGACGTGTTTCCCAAAGGAACATTTTGGTCAGTGGTGTTGTATGTATCTGTTGTTGTAAACTATTAATTATTCAAATAAATTTTAATATAAGTAAATGAAATCCTATTATGATCATCTAACTGTAGTGAACAGGAATGAAGTGATCAGTTATCCTTTCCAATATATCATATATATATATATATACACACACAATTTATATACACATAAATTGTATATTTGTATATACATGCATATCTGTGTGTGTATAATTCCTCTTCCTCTTTAAAATACTCAACAGCTACACTGTTCACCTCTCAGTCATTTATAAGCTAGGAATAATGTTTTTCAAAAAATGCATGCTTCATCAGTACAATGGAATAAGTCCAGAGGGAATTTATAAGGCATTTTCATGTATTCTATTCATTTTATTACATCATTAATCCTCTCCCAACTCACAATCCTACCAATACACCTTTATAATGCTCAGTGCACTTGAGTTGCAATTCAGCTTCTGTTTTGAGCCCTTATGCTATTAGGCAATTTACTTAGCCTATCTTTTTATTTATAAAACTAGAAAAATAATAGGAAATTTGGGGGAGATAATTTCTGAAGCGGTTTTTCTATACTCATATACTAAAAATTCATAATTTATCTATCATCATAATTATTTTATTGATCCATTAGTATTTTAAAATTCTCAATCCAGAGTTTTCATTCTTCAACTCTAGTGAAGTCACCAAAAACATAATCATAACTTCCTCACGTTTCCCCTAAGAAATTTTCTATCTCCAAAACCTCAAATTATGATATTCTGTTCTTTGTCACTACTTCTTCAGCTTTATCACTCCTAACCCTGCACTTCTATTCTAGTTGCTATTCTTCTCAGTATTTCTCGGTTAGCACACTTGCTTTCTAGCCATTAGTTCTTTCTCTTCACTTTTCAGCATAAACACCATCATAAGGGGGTTTCCAAAAACTACACCACTAGTAGTAAATGAGATGGTCTGATAAACAGAGGTTTATTTTATTTTAAACTTTATTTATCTAGTTGTGTTAAATAAAAATAAACTGTTTATCTAATTTATCTATGTATCTCTTTATCTCTCTCTTTATCTAATTGTATTAGATAGATAAATTGTGTTATTTCTTTACTCTAAATTGTGTTACAAAAACAGAACAAGTAGGTGGGGCATGGTGGCTCATGCCTGAAATCATAGCCCTTTGGGAGGCCAAGGCGGGAGGATCACTTGATCCAGCAGTCCGAGACCAGTCTGGGCAACATAGGAAGACACCCTATCTTTACAAAAAAAAAAGAAAAGAAAAAAAAAGCTTGTCATGGTGCTGTATGCCTGTAGTCCCAGATACTCATGAGGCTGAGGGGCTGAGGCTTGAGGGACGCTTGAGCCCAGGAGTTTGAGGCTGCAATGAGCTGTGATCACACCATTGTACTCCAGCCTGGGCAACAGAATAAGACCAGGTCTCCTCCCCAACAACCCTCAAAAAAAGAGAGAGAGAAATATAGAACAAGTGCACCAAATTCTGAATAGATTACCGAAGAGTAAGTATATCTTAATTAAAAAATGATTTAGGTGGTATAAACATTTGTATCAAGAACACAAATTTCTATAATTTTGATTAGCTCGATGAGGCTTAAAAATGTGTGCCCTTAGTCCTATTATCATATCTCCTTGCTTCTGTATTACTGTACTCAGGACTATTTGAATGATATTTTCTATGTAGTTTAAAATGTTTTGAACTTTTATGGTAAAAGATATGCATATGAATGTGTGCGTGCATGTATTATTCTGAGTGTCACTCTACAGACAATGGTTTATCTTTCTTTAGCAGAAAATCTCTCTCTAGGTGTAGTAAGCTAGTGTTCTGATTAGAAAGCCCACATTCTAAAGATAGTTACTGCAAATACTTCAGTTATCTTTATCTCTGACCAACACTCAATACTTTTGCAAATAGCAAAATATTAATTTACAAATTGGATTTCATTAGCGAAATTATTATTAAACATATATAGACTTAGTAAATATTTTACAGCCATTCTTAGTTACTTCTTGACCAGGATGTAGTGAGCCCTATAGTCATTAGCCATAGGAATGGCACCCTAGGTTTGATAATTTAATTATCCTTTACCTCTCCCTTCGTTCAGGAATTTCCCATTCTTTTGACTCTGAAAGATGTTAAGATAATCCAACGACTTGAATATTGTCAACAGTGACCTACTGTGAAACTTTTATGCAAGCAATTTCTGAGACCACCAAAAGATAGAGAACAGAGACCTCATTGATGCAATAAATGTGTGCACGATAGCATAATTTGGCCTATGGCTTGTTTTTGATAACCAAGTGGTAAATTAGTGAGGAAGGAAGCAACTCATACAATTTTAGCTATTCGTAGTGATAGAGACACACCAAGTAGAAACTAATAATATTATCTATGTTCAAACAGATTTTAGTCAATTTCCAAATCCTTAAGTACATTTCTATTCATTTTGTCAGATGAGTGAAATAGGAGTCTTTTGTATATCAAAAGTTCACTGAACAATTAATAACATACAGCACATATATAAAATGCTGACCAACAGCAAAATATTTCTTTAGAAAATAAACTCTTTTAAGTTGTAATACATAATATAGAATTACAATATATTATGTTGTACTTTTTTATTAGGTAAAACACACATGAATACACTACCTACTTTTAAGCAATAGGGGTTAATATTTCCTGTTAGAGATTAGAAAGCAATGGTTATCAACTGGATTTTATAAAACCTTACATCTATAACTTCTCAACAAATTTTACCTTTTATGATTATCACTATTACATATTTTTAATAAACACACACTTCTCACACTATTTGAAAATAAGATCTATATCATTTGGGTTTAAGATAAAAGTAGCTCAAATTTTAGTGAGATTTTAATATAGGGCTCTCGATATGTATTCATGTAAATTATGAAGGAATTTTTATTTCCTCTTTAATTTGGAAATAATCACTTTTTACCATCTGTCTGACTTCCTTCCCTTCAAAAGTTTTCATACAATATTCTTTATGATTAAATGGATATTCAGCATTCCTTATTCCTTAAAGGAAAATCTTTCAACTTTTATAAATGATTTTATTTAATTATTAGACTTTTTAGCTTTATGTTATTACTATAATGTGTCAATTTAAAATGTCATATGTTAAATTACATTTTTCTTTCCTGTCCACTGAGATAATTCGTATATTCTAATTTTAGTCAATATTTGTTGATAAAATATCTTATGTTTGTTAAGGTGAATATTTGGGAAATTTCCTGTCACAGTGGCGGCACCAGCAAGCAATTCATCAAAGTATGAGCTATATTCTTTGCTCTTTAGCGGATGCAAAATAACATAAAATATGTCTTTTTGCCTAAAAAGCAAAAGTATGGAAAGTTTCTATTAATAACATTAATAAAATTGAGTTCATTGAAATGAATTCTATATAGGCTGGGTGCAGTTGCTCACACCTGTAATCCCAGGACATTGGGAGGCCAAGGCAGGCAGATCACTTGAGGTCAGGAGTTCAAGACCAGCCCGGTCAACATGGTGAAATCCCCATCTCTACTAAAAATACAAAAGTTAGCCAGGTGTGGTGGCATACACCTGTAATCCCAGCCACTCAGGAGGCTAAGGCACAAGAATCACTTGAACCTGGGAAGTGGAGGTTGCAGTGTACTGAGATCACACCATTGCACTCCTGCTGGATGACAGAGTGAGACTCCATCTCAAAAAAATAAAAAGAAATTAATTTTATATAAAACAATTTACCCTCATGCCCAAGGGTAATAAATAAATGCTATTAAATTATATCATCATAATATTAAAACTGCAAAATTGAAGCACAGAAAATTCATGTAGTCTTTTTTGGATACCATAAGTATTTGCTAAATATGTATTAAATGATCTGCATCCTAGGAGTTTGAAATACTTTAGCGAACAGAATTGACAAAATATTCCTGCTTGAATGCTTGTCTGAAAATTACTATAATGTCCATATAGGAAGATCATAGTATTGACCATAAATGATCATAAAAAGATAATAAAATAGCTATTGTTTATAGGCCTTTTTGTCCAATATATTATATATGTTATTACAATGTAAATGTATATATATTTTATTTTTTACATATAGGAAAGTAAATGCATTGATATATTTGTAAATGTGCTGATTAACTTGTCACTAATTGAAGAATCATATAAATGAAGATCATTCAGACTTTTCATTCTTCATTATAAATGAGGAAAGCAAAATGACAAAATAAAAGAAAAACCCAAAAAGGGAAATTTTCTAACTCATGAGTACCCCCATGAGTTTTATACTTTTTATATAGCATCATCCCTAACTTTTTTCATTTATTTTATAGAGGTTATCAGATTTATTACAAAGTATACTGACCATTCAATTGGTTTTATATGCTCCTTGATTGCTTGCTTTTTTATAGTTTATGAGCAGAAATATTTTAGATACATATATTAAGATACAGCTACCTACAAACTATTACTGAAAACAGAATATATTTTATATATTAGAGATACATAGATTGTGAATCAGTTTATGGCTTGAAATTTGTTACTGAAAGTTCTGTCTTTTTTAAAAGGCAGCGACTTTAAGAAGTGTTTGGTTGCCTAATAGCTGCTGAAAATTGTGAGTGTGTGTGTGTGTGTGTGTGTGTGCGCCTGTGTGTGTATTTCGAAGTCTATTCAAAATGCTTGTCCATTTTACTGGGTTGCGAAATGGGTATAAAGGGTACAGGGAATTTAATTTAATCTGGTTAACTGAAAGTTACTCCATGCCTTTGAGTTGGAGAAAAGACAAGTTGATTTCTTATGAGTGAATTATTTGTTATTAAATGTATGTTTTTCTGAGTTGTTGCTTTATTATTTATATAGATAAGTATCAAAATATGAGAAAAAAGATTCATTTGTCCTATATGCTAATGGATAGATTATTTTTAGCTATGAGAAAAGAGAGCCTAAATTGGTTTGTTAGTATGTTTTGTCAAAATCTAGAAAGAAATTGGTGTTGGGGGGGGTATTGTTTAACTTGTTAAATGTTTAAGCTTGTTAATGATTTGGCAGTCCTGATGGTTTAATTTAAGGATTGAAATATGTCATATTCTATTAAAATTACCATGGCTTAGAATTAATAACTGTTGACAAGAGATGTAGAGTATAAAGCCAAATATCTGCTTCTCTTTATGTGAGGACGAAAACAGGTTAGGTGGTCACTCTGGGGATAAAAGATATGGCCACCTTCAAGGGGCTTTAGGGGAAAATCTGTTCCATTTCCTTTTCTAGCTTCTAGAACTGCTTTCTTATCATCCTTGGTTTATGCCCACCTTTTCCTTCATCTGTAAAGACAACAGTGTAACATGGTTGCTTCAATCCTCACATAGCCTTTTTCTTCTATCTTCAAATCTCTTTCTGCTTCCCTCTGATAAGGATACTCCTGATTACATTTAGGACACACACAGATAATCCAGGATAATGTCCTCAATATCCTTAATTTAATTGCATCTGCAAAATCCCTATTACCATATAAAGTAACTTTCACAAGTTCCACAGGTTCCAGGAATTGGAACCTCATCTCTTTAGTGGCCATCAAGTCTACCCTTTGATCATCTGGCTACTCTCTGGCATTCTATATACAAAGGTAGCCCTCCAGTTAGCACATCAAAAAGCCATGGTTTTCAAATTAAATTCCATTGCATTCTTAAATTATATTCTACTAATTACATGAAATTATTTTTTCTTTGAAGTTTCTTTCTAATCAACTACCACTACCTTATTACTGGGATATTATCTTTAGCTTCAATTATGGCATCCATTTTCCATGTAATCTGCCTGTCTCTAACCATACTCAGTCCTACTTCATAGCAGCCAGAATTACTTTTCTAAAAATTAAACACAGCTATGTTACTCAGCTCCTTAGAAAGACTCTGCTTATTTTTACCATTCATGGGACAAAATCTAAACTTACACTTTGGAATAAGCTGTTCACTGTAGTCTGAGATCAAAACTCCATTTTTTTTTTTTTTAAGACAGAGTCTCACTCTGTCCCCCAAGCTGGAGTGCAGTGGCATGATCTTGGCTCACTTCAACCTCTGCCTCCTGGGTTCAAGTGATTCTCCTGTCTCAGCCTCCCAAGTAACTGGAATTAGAGCAACCACACCTGGCTAATTTTTTTATTTTTAGTAGAGATGGGGTTTCGCCATGTTGGTCAGGCTGGTCTCGAAGTCCCGACCTCAGGTGATCCACCTGCCTCGGCCTCCCAAAGTGCTGGGATTACAGGCGTGAGCCACAGTGCCCGGCCTCCATTGTCTTTCTTATCACCCACATCATTCCATTCAGTACACCATATGCTCCCACTACACTGAGGATTAACACTACTTTACAAATCTGTACTATAAAATTAACTCCAGTATTTTGCTTGGAAATCTCCCATTTATCATTCAGGAAGGCAGGTGCTAAATTTCATAACGATTTTTCTCCCTTCTGCAATGTATAAAAATGGCTGCTCCATCTTTTGGGTTTTCACAATTCAGTCTTATTTCTTGTATAATATTTGTTGTATGGTGTTAATTTTTTAAAATAACCACTCTATCCCCTCAACATGAATTTGGGCATGTGAAAAGTACTGTGCCCAGTTCATCTTTGTAGTCCCAAAGCCTAGAACTCAGCAGAAAGAAGACATTGGACAAATGTGATTAGTTAAATGAATGAGGCCTTCAGAGGCAAGTGAAATGAACTAGTGCCCACAATACAACATAAAAGACAAATTTGTACCCTCTCTTCAAGATTACAGCCATATATAACACTAGAGTCCTCTCAAGAAATAATCTTTGATTAAACAGGAAATTAACTTCGATTTTTAAAATAAATATGGGTATTTATTATTACTTACAGAAACAGTAAAAAAATGTATATAAAACACATCTGTTAACACTTGACCCAAGATTTTTTTTTATGGGAAGTTTAAAATTACTCAGTGATGCAGTTGTTCTATAAATTTTCCACTGCCTTGAAAACTATGGCAATTTTATATTTTCAAAACTTGTTTAAAAAATAATTTTGCTGATCAAATAAATGTGTTATTCTTTCAAAATATATTTATATGAGTTTCTTCATTTACAAATTAAATTTTAAAATGTTTGCAATTTTTCTGATCTAAAACCTTTGTATATTCACTCAAAAATACTTTTCTCCAATCAATCTCTTTCTCCTTTTGAATTGTTACCTGAGAGGGTCTGATTGCTTTATATAGATGCTCGAAGCAGTATTATTTTTTTCAGAAAATAAAACAATCACATTACCTAGGACCCTCAATTTGGCTTCCAAAATTCTGCTTGTCAAAAGCTGGATTGCCTACTCCATGTTTATTTTCTTTACTAGTCAATAGCCCCATTGGCTGTTTTTGTGGTTGCCATGGTGTGCCCCCAGATCTGTCTTCATAGCTGAGGCTCTCTTAGCCCCAGCTTCCCAGACTGTTGGCAGTTGAAAACTCATAGCTGAGTCTTTGCCTAGGACCTGTCCTTACCTGAAAGGAGATGCTTTGCTCTTCTTCCAACCCCAGACCACATCCAATCATTGCTTTATATGAAGGTACAAAGACCAAGCTCTTTTCCCTCAATTCAAGATATCTCTAATGAGGTACCCCAGCTCAAGCACTTTCTGTGGGATTGCCCAAGATCTCTGTTATAATTGCTGTTCAAATTGTCTATTTCTCTTTCCTTCACTCTCTCACAGACATTGTTTTCTGAGTATTTCACAATCAACTCCTTGCGTGAAAAAAAAAAAAATCTCATTTCCTAAAACTTTTCCTGGGGAATCTCCCTTAAAAGAGTTGGAGACCGGCATGGCCTAGGACATGGACTGTAAAATGATGCTTTGAAGCTAAATTGTCAGCTGAAAGAAAAAAGTCTCTGTCAGTGGTTGCAGGTGGAGTGTGAATGGCCCATAGCATGCTGTAGTAGGGCAACTGTTAAAACTTGCTACTAGCTGGGGACTGGATCAGGATACCAGAGAATGTCTTTGCAAATGCAGTATCACACACATTTGTGAGGAACAGTGGGAGTGGAAATCACAATAATGTAATCAGATGGCTCTTGCTGGGTATCATTAAGGCATTGAAAAAGGCAAAGATTAAGGGTGAATAATCACCATTTTAAAGAATGAAACTTAGGGGGTCACTTTGGAAGCATTTAGACTCCATTCTTGGCAGCCACAGATCTGTAAAAAATGAGGGCCAGGTCCAGGACTTACTTCTAAGGACAGTAGAGCCCAAATTCCCTGGAACCCACTAGGACTGTAGAAGAAGCCACTTCTTTTGCTTGAAGATGGTGCAGACATCTCTGCATTCCAAGATAATAACATGAAACTGCTCTCCCTAGGATTTAATCCCACATAGCTAGTGATGTTAAGATTATATGATAAGCCTTCCAAGCAAAGTCTTCCTTCACACAGAGGTTACTAGCCTATCTCCACACATACAAAGGCAGTAAAAGGTCTAAACAATTGTACCAAATGTGAAGTCTCAAAGGCCTAGTAGAATTTCACCTTGGTACTCTTCAGTCTGTGACCCCAGATGTTACCTAAACTTTCCAATCTCATACTATGTAAAATTGCTTTAGATTGTCATACCAATGATTATAAAATCTGTGGCTTTAATACAGTAGCTATTTCTATAATAAGAATGTAATACAGTTGTTCCATGAACAACACAGGTTTGAAATGGACACATACATTTATAAGCAGATTTTTTTCAATAAGTATTGTTGGAAAATTTGGGGTAGATTTGTAACAATGTAAAAACCTCAAATATGAATTGCCAAGCCTAGAAATACAAAAAAAAAAAGTTGTGAAAAAGTTAGAAATGTAATGAATGCATAAAGTGTATGTAGATACTAGTTTATCGTATTATTCACTACCATAAAATATACACAAATCCACTGTGAAAAGTTAAAATTTATCAAAGACTAAGCAAACAAACACAGATCATACATAGTGCTCATACATCCCGAGTAGCTGGGATTACAGGCATGGGCTCCTATGCCCGGCTAATTTTTATATTTTTAGTAGAGATGGGGTTTCGTCATGTTGGCCAGGCTGGTCTGGAATCCTTGACCTCAGGTACTCTGCTCACCTTGGCCTCCCAAAGTGCTAGAATTACAGGCGTGAACCACTGTGCCTGGCCACTGCAATAATTTTATAACCACCTCCTGTAGCTATTGCAGTGATCCCAAGTGTTATGAGTAGCCACTTAAAACATCATGTGATGCTAATCATCTCCAAGTGAGCAGTTATCTCTCCAGCAAATTGTGCATCACAGTAAAAAGTGATTTTTCAAAGTTCTTATAGATTTTTCTTCCTGTTTAGTACAATACGTAAACCTTGAATAACACCACTGAACCCATATGAAGTGCCACTAGTGATGCTGCAAGTGCTCCCAAAGAGCAGAGAAAAGTCATGACATTACAAGAAAAAGTTAAATTGCTTGATATGTACCATAGAATGAGGTCTGCAGTTGCTGCCATTTTGAGATAAATGAATTCAGACTAAGAACCATTGTGATAAAGAAAAGAAAATTTGTGACACCATCACTGCAGCTACATCAGCAGATGTGAAAACTGCACTTCTTTTTGTGAAATATATTTATTTTTAATCTCATATTTAAAATGCAGCTTTTATGGAGATTCAGGATTGCTCTAAGGAAGGCATAACTATAGACTCTGATATAATGCAAGAAAAAGCAAAATCATTATATGATAACTTAGAGCAAAATGAAGGTGAAGGATTTCAAGCTGGAAAATTTAATGCCAACAAAGGATGGCTTGATAATTTTAGGAAGAGTTTGGCTTAATACATTTCAAGATAACAGGAGAAGCAGCTTCTGCTGCCCAAGAGGCAGCAGCAGAGTTCCCAGATGCCAATAAGAAAATCACTGAGGAAAAATGATATTTGCCTGAACAAATGCAGATGAAAGTGTCCTATTCTAGAAAAAAAAAAAGCCACAAAGGACATTCATTAGCATGGATGAAAAGTGAGCATCGGGACTTAAGGCGGTAGAGATAGGCTAACTCTACTGTTTTATACAAACACACTTGGGTTTATTATGATCAGGGCTGCTCTTATCTATAAAGCTGCTACACACTAAGTTTGAAGGGAAAAAAAATAAACAGCTTCCAGTTTTTTGGTTGTAAAACATGAAGGCCTGGACAATGAGAAACCTTTTTCTGACTTGGTTCCATTGATGCTTTGTTTCTGAAATCAGGAAGTACTTAGCAAGTAAGGGACTACTTTTAAAAATTCTTTTGATAGTGGACATGCCCCTAGCCACTGACAACCCCTTGAGTTCAACAGTGAAGGTGTCAAAGTGCTCTATTTGTTCTTAAGCACAATGTGTCTAATTCAGCTTCTACATAGGGGATCATAAGAATATTTAAGGTTAATTACACACAGTACTCTCTAGAAAGGATTGTCAGTGCTGGAAGAGAATCCCGATAGAGAGAACATCATGAAATTGTGGAAGAATTATAACATTGGAGATGCCTTTGTTGTTACAGAAAAGTAATGAAAGCCATCAAGCATAATTAAGTAAGTTCTTGCTGAAGAAAACTGTATCCAAATGTTATACAAAACTTCCCAGATTTATGATGATGCCAATCCAGGAAATCATGAAAGAGATTGTGGATATGGCAAAAAAAAAGAATAAAGAAAAAACATGGTCAGGGGGTAAAGCGTTTCTAGCAATGTATCTTGGAGAAATTCAAGAGCTAACACACACCACACCAAACAAATTAGCAGAAGACCACCTGATGATGATTTCTTATGAACCAGTGCCAGAAGATGAGAAAGAAGACGTGGAAGAAGACATAGAAAAAGCATTGCCAGAAAACATTTTGACATTAGGCAATCTGGCAGAAGAGTTCTGATTGCTCAACGTTGGTTTTGATTTCTTTTAGGACATAGACTCTTCTATAATACAGCTACTGAAACTAAAGCAAATGGCAGGAGAAGGATTGGTACTGTACAGAAACATTCCTATAGAAATGAAAAAGAAAACAGTTATGACAAAAGTTACTATGTATTTTCATGAAGTTACAGAATGTGTCTCTCTCCTGCCTCTCCTTCCACCTCTTCCACCTCTGCGACTCCTGAGACAGCAAAGCCAATCCCTCCTGTTCCTCCTCTTCCTCACTCTAGCCAATCCCTCCTCTTCCTCACTCTACTCAATGTGAAGACAATAAGGACCTTAAAGATGACTCAATTCTCCTTAATGAATAGTAGATATATTTTCTCTTCCTTATGATTTTCTTATAACATTATTTTCTCTAGCTTACTTTATTGTAAGAATAGAGTAATGCATATAATATAGAAAACGTGTTAGTAGACTACATTACTGGTAAGTCTTCCAGTCAACAGTTGGCTATTAGTAATTGTTTGAGGAGTCAAAAGTTTTACATAGATTTTGACTATTTCAGGGGTTGGTGCCCCCAACACCCACATTGTTCAAATGCAATTTAACATGTTACCTACCAATAAATATTAATACTAGGCATTATAGGTCTTATCTCTAGGTATGTTCTTTAGAGTAAAAAGCCTACTTTCCCAATTCACCTCTAATGTATATGAATCCAAATTAAATTAATAAGTGATTGAGAAGAATCACAGGTAGAAAAATCTGTAGGCATTTTAATTTTTCAATATCTCCACTATATCAGGTATCATTTTAAAATATAATTTATAATAAATATGGATCTGACTTCACTATTATTTTGTACTATATGATTTATAGCCCTATATACCGAAAGGACTAGAAATACTGTTATTTTTATAGGAGCATAATTAAGTAAAATTGCCCAATATTCTTTGACAAAATAATACACCTAGGAGAATCTCAGCCTTTCAGAAAACAAATCTATAGGAAAGACATCTTGTTGATTCACTTAACAGATACTTACTGACTACCCTTCTATGTACTAGGCACTAGCCACTGGGCAAATAATCAATAAGCTATATCACATCATTACTCTTACGTCATAAGTAAGACATAGATGTCTTCCTTATGTATGTGTATATAAAATCATCATAGTCTGTGCTGTGAAGAAAAGGGAGTGTTAAAACATACATCTAACAATAACACATAATTTAGCTTGGCGGGTTATGTGATTTTTTTATCACACTTTGTGGTGAAAATAGTTTACTTTTCTCTCTCTCTAAGAGTCCCAAAGGAAGAGATTGTGTATTGTTTACCATTCTATATTCATTTTAAAGCACAGCATTGGGAAACTTTATTATTTTTGAATGAGTGCATAAACTAATCTAGAAAAACAAACTGAGAGCACATAAAGTCAGTGATTCATGGAGCATTTATTAACTGAAGATAGTGCTAAGTCTTTCCTAAGTCTTAAAGACTCAAAGTGTAAACTGCAGTATAATTGTGGAAACCAAATAATGGAAAATTATTCTTTGGAAATATTACCTGCATTTTTCGTAAAGCAGGCATTATTTCTCATTTTTAAAATGGGCTTTATTATAATTTCCAAGTCAAAAGGGTGAAATTCCTTTCTGTTTTAGATAAACATAGATAAGTCAAATTAAAATATGAGACAAAATATACAGAAAGATAATTCATTTTTTCCCTCAAAAGCAAAGGAAGTTTTAAATAACTTAAATAAATTTAGAAAACATTCATTGAGAAAGAGAATATACACAGCAGCATGAAAAAGCATTTCACATTGGATTCCATCATTACATTTATGAGCTTCTAAGAATTCACAGATTATAAGCACATTATCAAAGTAATTTCTTAAAATCATTTGTTTATATATTTATAAATTGCCTTAAGGAACAACCAGAGACATCTATTCAAAAATCGTATGTACAGCATAAAGCACTAAGCAAAAGAAATAGATTCTGGCCAAGTTAACCAAAATAAAGAAAAGTATGAAAGGGGATATAATGTATTTGAAGACTATTGGGTTAACTTACAATAAAATAAGGGAAAATAAAAGCCTTCTCATGTAAAATCCAAGGTACTTCTTGTGATTCAAACGGTCATTTTTGGCAGCTTGATCTGAATCACCTGAGGTGCTTGTTAAAAATGATGGATTCTTGAGTTCCAGCTCATAATTACTGAATCAGACTATCTAGTAATGGCCTCCAGGAATCTGCATTTTTAACCCCATCAGGAAGGATAATTAAGCATTTTAATATTTGTTCTTAGAGTGACTCTGCTCCAAAGTTTCCAAATACAATGTTTTTCTACAAATGTCAAAAATTTGGGGGAGATTAAACTACATTTTCCACTCCAAGTTGCAGAACCGTCTCTATCTTCATGTCCTTATAGGATACATATTATATTACACTGTCAATGGCATTATTTGTGTGGATACTTCTCTCTTAAGTTTTCCATAATTTATGAGCTTATTTAGACTAGCATCTTGATAGTCTGTGTATACCGCACAGCACAAAGAACAAGGACTTTTCACGTTTATGTGCTTAAATGTTACTTGAATTGAATGACATTGATAACATACAAGAGTAATGACAGTTTTATGGGTAAGAATATTACATTGAATGGACTTCTTGGTGTGTGCATAAATTTAAAATTGTAAAACTTATTCTGAGTCTTATTAGTTCATTTTATACAAGAGTAAAAAATGACAGCAGGCTCATGGTTAAATTTAATGGAAACCAGAGGTCCCCAGAGAATCAAAGTCATAATCAATCATTTCTTTTCTCATATATTTAGTAAAATATACCAAGTTTCAAAATCTTTTTATTTCTCTGAAAATTGCATTTGAGATTGATTAGGTCAGGAGCTGCACACATTTTTAAAATCATTTAGCTGCTCATCCTGATATCTCTCTGAGAATTTCTGATATTGATTAGAAACTGCACCACTTATTGAATAAGATATAAAAACGATAATTTTGTTTTTGACAACACCCGCCTGTATTAATTTATGTGCAAAAAGACAGCTTTCCTTGTTAAAAAAAATACATTACTATAAATATAAATAATGTAAAATTCAAGACTCAGAGCAAAAACTCCTTCTCTCTGTGCTGTAACTTAAAAATAATTCCCCAGGAGGAAAGGGCTCTGGTTATTTGGACAGTATATGTGAGATGCAGACATCTGTTAGGATATTTTTTCCCTTATTTTTTTAAAAAAGTTTTTGCATTGTAGTTCCAATCTCTCCAATACGTGTCATATTCACATGAATAGCTGTCTTTGCAAAATTAAACAAATGAATAAATAAAGCCCTGAAGACTCATTATTAACAAGTGACCATTTGTTTCAAATATTGTTTAGCTAAAATAGATATCCCATATAAACTAAGAGTTAATAGAATCACAGGGGCCTTTAATAAAATTCTGTAAGAACTTTTGCTGGAAAAGCTGAATCTCCTAAAAATCCCTTCTTTTGATTTTTATAATTCATAAATTTTCTTTTGATTTGGTAAGCAAACATTATCATTTGGTAATAATTATTTTGAAAATAAACATTTTTATTACATGTTATTGAAAATATATGTTAAATGAAATGCCTATTTAAATAAAACTAAATACTGTACTAAAAACTGGAGGCCTATTTTATGTGATTTTTTTAAAAAAAGCTAATTTGATAAAACATTTTATACTATATTTTCAGTAATATCTATAGAGAAATAGCTGCAGTAAGTTCAAATAACATTTTAAAATAAACTAGTTTGACTGAAAATATTTGCCTAACTTTATTAAATGAATCTATTATAATGATACATAAGCATTTTTAAATATAAATGAAATGAACTAAGAATACAATTATTACTGAAAAGCAAGTGACAGTAAAAGAAGCTATCAAACTTTACATTGTTTGAATATATTGAACCGCCTCTTTTTTGACTTACATTGTTCAAATATATTCAACAGCCTCTTTTTTGCTGAAATTTCTTGGCAAGAGTTCATTAATAAGTATGTGATGAATGTAAAATAAGAAATATTCAAAGTGCCATGCCTTACTATTTTACATATTGGCCTATTTTATAATTCAGAGTGGTGTTTGGTTTATTCAGGCTGCTATTAAAAAAAAAAACATGAACTAAGTGGTTTATAAACAACAGAAATTTACTTCTTATAATTCTGGTGACTGGGAAGTTCAAAATCAAGTTTGCTGACAAATTCAGTATCTGCTGAGGCCTACTTCCTAAATCATAGGTGGCCATCCTTCTACCATAACTTTACATGGCAGTAGGAAAGAGAGGACTCCCCCTTTTATAAAAGCAGTAATCTCATTTATTGGGGGCTCCATGATCTAACCACCTTGAAATGCTCCACCTACTAATACCATTGCTTTGGGGGTAGGATTTTCATATATGAATTTTAAGGGGATATAAACATTTAGAACATAGCAGCCATTTTTATCAAGTAGTGTTTATTATACATCATGAAATTCATCTCCATTCAAGACAAAAGAGAACTATGTTTCTGTCACTAATTTATTGGCATAACTTATTTTATTGCAATTCACAAATATTGAGATTTTTTTTTTGCAAAGGGAAGGTTTGTGGGAATCCTGTATCAAATATACTTATCAGTACTATTATTTTTTATTATTTTTTTTGAGACGGAGTCTCATTCTGTCACCCAGGCTGGAGTGCAGTGGAATGATATCGGCTCACTGCAACCTCTGCCTCCTGGGTTCATGTGATTTTCCTGTCTCAGCCTCCCTAGTAGCTGGGATTAGAGGCATATGCCACCACGCTTGCCTAATTTTCGTATTTTTAGTAAAGATGGGATTTTGCCATGTTGGCTAGGCTGGTCTTGAACTCCTGATCTCAAATGATCTGCCCACCTCAGCCACTCAAATTATTGGGATTACAGGAATGAACCACTGCACGTTGCCTTATCAGTGCCATTTTTTCTAACATGTGCATACTTCATTTCTCTGTGATACATTTTGTTAATTCTCACAATATTTCAAATGTTTTCATTATTATATGTGTTATGTTGATAAGTGATCAGTAATTTTTTATGTTACTATTGAAGTTACTTTGGGGCACTATTAATCACACCCATACAAGATGGCAAACTTAAATAATAAATGTTGTGTGCGTCTGACTACTTCAACAACTGGCTGTTCTCTAGCTCTCTCCCTCTGCTAAAGCTTCCCCATATCCTGAGACATAACAATATTAAAATGAGGCCAATTAATAACCCTACAATGACCTCTAAGTGATCAAGTGAAAGGAAGAGTTGCACATGTCTCACTTTAAATCAAAATCTAGAAATAACTAAGCCTAGTGTGGAAGGCATGTTGAAAGCCAAGAGAGGCTGAAAGCTAGGCCTTTTGCACCAAATAGTAAGCCAAGCTGTGAATGAAAAAAAAAAAAAAAAACTTGAAGAAAATTTAAATTGCCCCTCCAGTGAACATGCAAATTGTAGGAAAGAGAAAGAGAAACAGCCTTATTGCTGATAGAGTGAAAGTTTTAGTAATCTGGATAGAAGATCAAATAAGTCATGATAGTCCAGTTAGGCGAAACCCAATCTAGAGCAAGAACTTGACTCTCTTCAATTCTGTGAAGGCTGAGAGAGGTGTCAAAGCTGCAGAAGAAAGTCTGAAGCTAGGAGAGGTGGGTTCATGAGTTTTAAGGAAAAAGGCTATCTCTAAAACATAAAAGTACAAGGTGAAGCAGCAAGTGACAATAGAAGCAGCAAGTGACTGTAGAAGCTGCAGCATTATTCAGAAGATCTAGCTAAGATGATTGATGAAGGTGACTACACTAAACAACACATTTCCAGTGTAGGTAAAACAGCTTTCTGTCAGAAGAAGATGCTATGTAGGACTTTCACAGTTAGAGAGGAGATGTCAATGCCTGAATTCAAAGCTTCAGAGGACAAGCTGACACTCTGGTTAGGGGATGATGCAATTTGTGACTTGAAGTTGAAGCCAGTGTTCATTTACCATTCCCCAAATACTAAGGCCCTTAATAATTATGCTAGATCCAGTCTTCCTATGCTCTATAAATGGAAAAACAAAGCCTGGATAACAGCACATCTGTTTACAGCATGGCTTACTGAATACTTTAAGCCCACTCTTTAGACCTACTGACCAAAAAGAAAAGATTCGTTTCAAAATATTACTGTGCTTTGACAATATAGATGATCATGCAAGAATTCTGATGGGAGATGTACAAGGAGATTAATATTTTCATGCCTGCTAATACAACATCCATTCTGTAGCCCATGAATGAAAGAGTAATTTTGACTTTCAAGTCTTACTATTTAAGAAATACAATTCATAATGCTATAGCTGCTGTAGATAGTAATTTCTCTGATGGATCTGGGATAAATAAATAAAAATCCTTCTGGAAAAGATTCACAATTCTAGATGCCATTAAGAATATTCAGGATTTATGGACAGAGGTCAAAATATCCACATTAATAAGAGTTTGGAAGAAGTTTATTCCAATGTTCACAGAAGACTTTGAGGGATTCAATACTTCAGTGGAGGATGGAACTGCCAATGTGGTGGAAATAATGAGAACTAGAATTAGAAGTGGAGCTTGAACATGTGACTGGATTGCTGCCATATTGTGATCAAACTTGAATGAATGAGGAATTGTTTATTATGGATGAGCAAAGAAAGCGGTTTCTTGAAATGGAATCTACTTCTGGTGAAGATGCTATGACCATTGTTGAAATGACAAAATGGGATTTAGAATATTACATAAACAGTTGATAAAACAGTGGCAGGATTTCAGAAGATTTACTTCAACTTAAAACAAGTTTTACTGTGGATGAAATGCTATTAAACAGCAGCGCTATAAGATAAATCTTTTGTGAAAGCAAGAGTCAACTGATGCATTAGGAAACCAAAAACTGTATGACTCGCTTTATTGCTATATTCGCTTTATTGCAGTAGACTAGAATCAAAGCCACAATATCTCTGAGTTATGCCCGTATTTTAACAATTTTATGAAGTAACCAATGCGAACTTAAAACAAGATGAAAATAAATTTTTCCTACACAGAAATGAAACTATGTTAGTGTACTAGCTAATTAATTATATTATTAGTTAGTGGCATAAATCTCAAGATTATGAGAAACTTGATAGAACTGACCTAAGTAGAGCTAACTGCCCACCTCCCGTGGGAAAAAAAGAGGAATCATAATGGCTTTCCTGATTACATTTAATAGCATAATTCTGACTGGGAATTACACTTTGCACTACTTTTCTTTGTCTTTTTTGAGCAGAGCAGGACCTGTACTCTGGAAGCATCTGACTGGAATGAAGAATGAGGAGAGAAAGCAAAGATCAGTTGTTGACAGGTAGATTAATTTATAGCTGTAATGGAATAAGAAATGATAAGGGGAATAAGTAAAATAAATAACCCAAGAGAATCAAGATTTAAAAAGTCAAGCAAAACACTTATTGCTAACATATAATAAAGATAAAGGACTGTTAGTTATGCAAGAGAAGTGTTTAAGCAATATAGTCTCCTGAAAAATAAAGGATATTTTAAAAGATATACTATTGTATAGATTAATTAGCCAACATGATTAATATTTTTTAAAATTCCCACTAAGTTATTGTGAGTTGGACAAATTATTTTTAGTAGATGATAAAGTAAATAATATTTTCAACATTATTCTGGGATGTCACCACAATAAGTGATGCACAATCCTTGGAGACACTACCAAACTCTTTGTTCCAGGTGATGGTGTATAATAGAATCTCCTTCCAGTAAAATAAGTGACATCCTTTTAGTCCTCTATTGCTAAATTTTTTTAAAAGAAAAGGAAAGAAATACAGTAAGACTTTCTACTCTGAACTGGGCAATAATAAAAAATGTGCTGCAAGTTTTTTCTTTCCTTCTCTATAAAAAAAATGGCAATGCAAATTTTATTGTTATTTCAACATGCCACAATAATGTACAATCATTATGAAGAAATGATCTCAGTTTAAATGCTACTTCCCCCTTTAAGGCATTAAAATAGCACAGAAAAATTTCAGAGGAATCAAGTTAAATCTAGGTCATCAACAGAATATATGGCTGGTTTCATGAAATGGCCCCAATTTGTGATAAGATTGATCATATTTTAAATTAGTCTGTAGCCTCAAGATAATTCTCCAGAATGCCACAATAAATATATATGTCTTTATATGCTGTATATTTATTGTACATTAGTAAAACATGAATTATTAAATACATATTTCTATAAATAGCAGCTGCATTTATATTACAGCATGTCTGATATTAGCTAATATCATTGCTTTAATATAGCTGTATTAATACATATACTTTGTGTTCCTATCTCCTTCATATTGAAGAATGATGTAGGTTTATATGTTGTATATGCTTTGTTATGTTTTATGGTGAGACAATATAAGAATATCAAGGGAAAAATATGTTTAAAATCATTAGCAATGTCAAACTGAATGAGAGGACACATTCTAGTTTTATAAAACTAATGATTTCTCACCAGGCCTAAGACTTTAATAGTTGAGATGTGGTTTGTCATCTTCCATTTCATTTAAAAATACTTTGGAAATTGTCCATTTGAGTGAGTTAAGATAAAAAAAAACCTTTGAGGCTTAAAAATACCCTTAATTTAAAACTGGATATCTTAAAAGAGAATAAGACTTTTCAGGAAGGTACTGCTCTCATTTTAAAACAAAACAAAATAACAAAACTGAGGCCCAGATTTAAGTCGCTGTAATTCAATCATAAAATTCACTTAGAAAAGGTTTGATCAATAAATCAATAATTATAGAATTTGCCTAAGGTTATAAAGCCTCGGTGGATGAGCAATTCATTCCTATATCACATAATTATTAAGCATTGATTTTAATCCAGGCAATATACTGGGTTTTATAGATTCAAAGATAAATAATAAACATTCCTGGCTTTCAAGAACTGACATGAGAAAAAGAATACGTAAAGCTACTGAATTAGAATGCAAGGTAATAGAGAAACCCAAGAAAACCTAAAACTTAAGTCATATTTTGTCATATTGCTCTTTAAAGTCCTTAACTGACTTCCCTCTTTTTAGAGTAAAAATCAAAGTTTGTATGATAGCCTACCAGGTCTTTCATCAGCTGCCTCTATGCCTTCTTTCTGAACAAATTCACTTTTGTTCATGTTTTTTTCACTGGAGCCACCCTTCACCTCCATTTCCATTTCTTGACAGATCAAACATGCCCTTCTTACCTTCTTCTAACCACCTGGCAAAAATCATCATTTCTTCTCTTACTATACCCATATATTTTATCATATTGGTCAGGTAACCGAAGCATAGAAAGATGACATAATTTCCTCAAAATTATAGATCCTGTACATGGTTGAGCCATAATTTGCATACGGGAGTCTGGTTTCAGATCCAACATCTTAACTGCTTTATTTTAAACCATTTTGTTTTACTGCCTCACTAGTAGGGGAATCCAAAAAGAAAAGAAAATGCAGACCATTTTTAAATGGTTTCTCTCAAGAGGTTTCCTCCTTGGCTTTGGGTTAGAAGGGAATAATTGGATACAAAATGGAGGGAGAGGGGGTTGTAAGTGACAATATGGAAAACAGAGTTTGGCCAAGCTTAGAACTACTGCCAGATGTTACCAGTGGCTGTGTCTCCAAAGAATTAAAAACCAGTAATATGAAAGTACCTCACTGTAGGAAGGGTCCCCTTTTTAAACGAGGCAACTCTAGATTTCAATAAGACCAGGCCACAATAGTACTTGTAGCAAGAGAAATCAAGAGAAGAGAACCATGCCAGCATTAATATCTTTCCTTTCCCTCTACAGGATTGGCTTAATTAGTGGGTGTGGCAAATGTAAATATAATGATTCAGTAAGCACAATCAATGTTACACTATTCCCATTTTTAATTATGTATCTCTGCATGGTACCTTTTTCATGTTGGTCAGCCCATTAAATCAAATATTTAAACAAATTGAAGATAGCAACAAAGTTTTGAATTACTGTAGTAGAATTAATTCAAAGAAAAAAAGGGAAGACAAAGCAAGTTTAATTATAGTGTATTCGTGAATCAATTATAATAACTTAAATATGCCAACACTTTAGATTACTAATAATGCAACATTAAGAATCATTTATTTACTGTGTTGCTTTTTATTCTACATTTTATGTGTATGTTTATAATTTAATAACTTCTATTAGTAGGATCTGTCATGCACATAATTTATAAATTACATGTATTTTGGAAATATATGAACAAAACCTTGTATTGAAAGGAGATCAAAATCAAAGAAGTTTGAAAAGTGTTGGCAGAAGGCTGACTAAATAGGGACATAGAATCAATTGTAATTGAGTCCTAATAGAGACACATTCAATCTATATAGATATATATGACTTTGAAAATGATTTTGAGTGCTTTTAAAACACTTAATTGTATTATAATTTAATAATTTAAAGTAGTTATCTCCTATTTGAGTTGATAGATATCAGAAAATATTAAAGATTTTGTTTATAATTTAAACAAAAACTGATTTTGTTGATTGTATTTATGCTTAACCTTAATAAAGTGGCAACTTCTGAGTGAAACCCAAAATACAGTTCTAAAATAATATTTTTGTATATGATTTGTACAGAATCGTTACCCTTCAGCTGTCCAGTAACAACATTTAAATCTATACAAGAAATCTTTGAAAATAAAATCCTTATGATGCTTGTCAGTGCCTGAGAAATGGATGTCAAGCATAAATCTATTAAATAAATAGATATCATGGATTAAACGGTTCTTATTTTATAACATTATGAATTTCATGTCGGTTTTATTTTTCCTCCACACTGATATTCTCGATTTTAAAAAGATAAAGCGTTCATATTACGCATCATCTTTTGATTTACTCATAGAGTACCACTGAATAGGAATTAGCTTTGAAAGAGGTCATCTATGGGCAAAATGTCAACAGGATTGCTACACTGCCTAGACAGAATAATGTACAATATGAAGTAAGTGATTTAATTAACTGAAACTGTCTCAGTAGAGTGCACTTCTTATCTAGTGAAGACATAAAAAAGATAGATAACTGCATTATGTCAATTAATCTACTCATATTTCAGGGTGAATATAAGAAATGCGGGAGCATATGAGCTATTTGTGTCAGGATAAATAGATAATAAATATATATAGCTTCACTCAATTGAGTCAATACAACCAGTTTTCCCCCCACACAAAACTTATACTTTTGATGTTTCCACTCATAAACAATGATGCTTCCAACATAATATTTTTAAAAACTCTTATTACAATTTTTAAAATCATTATTTAAAGATATTTGGATACTATTATAAAGCCCATTTAAGGATTTCTCCTACTTTTTACTTCTGTTGTACTAGTATGTGTTAATGGGGTTACTATGAAGTGGATATGCTGATTTAACAACAGGTGCTGAACATTTTCTTGATGAACATTTTCTAGGTAATTTTTTTTTTCTGCTAAGTTTTAAGACTCAATTTTGTGGTTATTTCTCCCTGTTTTAAACATGGTGAGATAATCTCCTGTACGCTAGTCCTTAAACAGAAAAGTCATAAAACCATGAGTCTAAAGAAGACCAGTCTTTGGCACAAGTTTACATGACTTTGTAGCATTTAACCACCAAGCTCTTAAACACCTGGCATAGAGCATCTTTATTTAGCAAAGTGAGGAAGCAGAAAAGTAGAGCGCTGTCTAAAGTAGGCAGAGACTACTCAACTCCAGGAATCCTGTTTGTATTAGAATCCCGTCTGGAATTACGAGATCTGATTATTCAAAAGAAAATGAAAATCCTGATTCTTATATGATGAAATGTGTCCATTATTAAATTTTGAAAAATGATTCAAACTTAAAACATTGTAGACCAACTAATGAAAGGCAAACTGGACTTCTGAGGTCAGATATAGTCTCTGGGCCCTCCAGATAAACTACCCTTGACATCTCCCTTCCAATCATGTAGAAGCAGAGATGACCCCATTACAGACTGATTCTCCCATTGGATGGCTTTTCTTCTAAAGGAGCAGAGAGGTTACCAAACTATCAACTGAAAACTAAAAGACATATGATAATATTTTCCACACCATTTTTGTGAAGAAGGATATACTGATGATGACTGTCTTGGTAGTAAGATTTGAAATTACTTTTTAAAAAATTTTAATTGTATTTGTCCATATCTTTTTAAACTGCCTACAAAAGAACATGTATTAGTTTTTCACTCAGATTTTTAAATGTTATTAAATAATTATGTAAAAATTAAAAAAGGAAGTTCAATGCTCTGTAATCAATTTTCGTGTACAAGAAAAACAAGGCAGTGGCATCATTTGAAAATAAGAAAGAATTAGCTAGCTATACATTATTGATAGACGAGACTATTTTAAATTGTAAATTTATTTATGATGGGTTTGTAATATGTCCTACCCAATAAAGACAACTGAACTCCCTCTGCCTTACAGTGCAGCCAGGGACATATCTTCTTAGTGAACTTATTTCTGTGATACGATCCAGGTTTTATTCTTATCCATCCCTCCAGCAGCCTTACTGTAGCAAAATCAGTTTCTTGTAACAGAAATAAAAGTTTCTTTCTTAGCTTCCGGAAATTATTGACTTTCAAGAATTTTTGAGATTCTGCCTCCCTTTAACAAAGTACAAATAAACCTCTTTTTAACATTCAGACAATCTAAAAACTTGCTGAAAATCAGACAATGAATACCTATTGGAGCCTCCCTTGACATATATTAATTTTCTGGTACAATCTTTTGTAAATATTTAATAATTAGCTCCTGTTTTATGAATATGCAGATGTAGGACAAGCCTTATATGAATAGGTCCTGGTTGTAGCAATTGAACTGATGCAATCACATGTCATCCCTGAAAACAAAAGCAGATGCCACTGAAGACCATCCTTGTCAAAATATTTCCACAAGCCTGCGAAAGGTCTTAACCTATACAAATGTTATGACTTTGCTTAGGGCTGTAATTTCTTCTTTTTGAACTCAAGTAACAAAAAGAGGATTTGTCAGTTGAATGAATAAGAAGAAGTAGCAAATTATTTGGGGATCTGACTAATTAAGCCTATCAGGAAGTACCTCAGGCAGTGTCATTATTTGTTTAGCTAAATTGTCAGTCTAGACAATGAGGGAGTAATGCCTTATTTTATTTTTCCTCCTCTATGATATTTTGCTCAACTGCATATTCTAAGCTGCTCTAGAAGAATTCACTTAGAACAATTCTATCTTCTTTTATTGAAATTAAGTCAAACTCTAAGTGAGGTCTAAAAATAAATTTAAAAAACCTTTTTTACAAAAAGATAAGAATAACAGTCATATAGTGACTGAAAAAATAAATTTCTTTAAAATAAAGTCTGATTTAATTAGGGTTGTTAGACAAACTATTGGACACAATATGAGTTTCAGAGAAAAACTGATTCTTTTACTATAAATATGTCCCATGCAATATTTGGACATCTGTATTTTTGTTTGCTGAATCTGGCAATCTTAGACTGAATTTATGTTCCGGAGAAAGTGTAGAGTAAGTATGTTTAAAAGAGGGTTCAGAAGATTTGTATAAAAACTAACTGTGGAAGTCGGCCTCAGCTCTTTAGATATATGCCTGTTCTGCCACAACTGTCCAGCAGTCTGCTCTACTCAGCTGCTTCTACTTATCACGTTTTCCAGAATCCAGCTACGTTCTGTCACAGCTCTCCATACTCATATCTCAATGTTTACTGAGACCAAGTTTTGATTTATCATTATCATATGGAAGAATCTATATCAGATAACTTTTTTAAACTTGTTTATTCTATTTCTCAATATTCAAGCAAATAAAGGGTTTTGCAAGCCTATATTCCCATCCACAAAGGAATTGAGGTATACCTTAATTTCCATTATAAGAAAAGAATAACGATTAAAAAAGAATATAGAAAAAAAGAAAAACTTTTATCAGAAGGTGCCAGGCTTATTATTCAAAGAAATCTTGTTTCATTTCCTTTGCTACATCTATCTTTTTTCTATAATTTTCATCTAATGTAGCAAATAAAATATACACATATGTAAATAACACATACAAATTCCTATGTCAATTTATTGTATAAATATCACTCACAGAAAGGTGAATGAAAAGGCAGTACAAAATAAATTCACTTTATTTCACAATTTTAACTTGACTGCCTTGAATTATTGGAAGATCCTTTAAGATGTATACTGTAAAGGCAGTCCTATGCAATTTTTTTTTTTCTAATACTTCATGGTGTTTCCTGCAATGTTTCCCAGATATCTACACAAAAATTATAATAATACTTACTATGGTTTGTTTTTACTTTTTGTTTCTATGTATTAGGTTCTTCATTCATCCAATTGTCTCCTCTTAGAAACAATTATAAGGGCCAAATTACAGTTAGACTAATACACAGTAAAGTTAAAATGTTTTGCACATTATATTTCTTCACCATTTCATACTATTAATTTTAAATTTTAGTTAAAATTGATGTATTTTAGAAATGTTTTTAGTTTGTCTCAGAATATATATATATATATAACTCAGACCAAAAATTCTAGTGTAGTTGTTCTGTCTATTCCATTTATTATATTTAAGCCTAAAGAAAAACCTTGGTGGCAAATGACAGAAATCTGTTGATTAAGCTCATTGAATTGGCAAACCTTAAGAAGAGAGTACTCTCTTTTTCCATTAGAACATCACCTTTCTGATGGTAAAAGTGCAGTAATTGATACTGTTTGGGAGAAGTGACTAGAGGTCTATATCCTTAGGAAAAGATTTCAAAAGCTTTGGATTCTGTTATGTTTTATTATCAATATATTTAGAATTCTAGTTCTAAATTCCCTTCAACTCCAGTTATTCTGGCGACAAGCAGCTTTTACTTGTATTTCAATCTCTGTGGCTAAGTCCTATCACCTGTTAGCAGATGATTTCCGGAATCATCAGGTTCTTGCTACACCTCTCAGTGCAAGCTTCCATGCAGATAAGCATTGGCTGGGTGCAGAATGCTGCGTATAAAATGCTTAGAAACATAAATCACTGTGGCTATGCACAGTCCAATACTTATGCACTATGGCTCTGCAACTGAATTCTCTGTGGGGGATATTAAAAACACAGAGTCTCAACCTCACCTTCTATTCACTAAATCAGAATCCCCAAAGCGGGAATACCAAATATGCATGCAGTTTATAACTGGCACAGGTGATTCTGGTGTATTGTAGAGACTCTGAAATACTGATTTGCTCTTGGAATCCTTGTCCTTCCTTGTTTTGTGAGTCCTGTGGGCAGCTGAACTCAAGGTCTGATACTTTCAGAGGTACAGCATATGTAGGACAGAAAGGGAATCTTGGGGGAGGCATGACTTGTGCTGTATATTCCCCGTGTCTCCTTGTGAAACTTGCTTCACTTCTATGAACATTACATTTTTCTCTGTGAAATATACCTTCTATGATATACCAGTGAACTATAAAAGACATCCTGGAAAGACACACCTCAGAACAAAGTGGGATTTATATTTTCTGAAAAGCAAACTAGTCCTTGATTGTATATAGTAATAAGAATTTAAAAAAGCATAGAATTGGTAATAACACTCTAAACCCACATGTATGTGTAAATTCATTTTCATATTTAATACACTTGTGTTTAATATAGTGTTATATTTAATATACTTATTGTATTAAATATATTATGTTTAACATGATATTTAATATACTCATCCACATTTATATCCACACCAATCCCATTGGTCTCTTTTGAGTTTTTGTTTCAGGCTTTTTTAAGAATGTAGGGCAAAGTTTTGGTCTTGGTCTTTTAAGCACAGCAGCTACAGGAAGGGAGATTTTCTTGCTCTGAGAGGGCAAAAAAAAAAGACCAGCAACTTAAACCAGGGGAACTGACCTAAAAGGCTGTGCCACTGATAAGATTCACTTGGACTTAGCCAGATTAGAGGCTTGATACCTGGAGAGAGAGAGATCAGGCTGAGGTGTTTTGCTTTGTGTCTATCAGATGCAGAGCATTTCAGCAGAAATGCAGCAATCTCACAGCAAGCCTTAAAAGGTGGCCCAAGAGCCTCAGCATCCGATGATATCATGTCAAACAAATGCTATCATGTCAAACAAATGCTATCAGCATCTGGGAAATCTCTGGAATCTGGGCATGAGTATAGACTCTGTGAGTTTCTTACTCTATGAAAAAATCTAAAAAAAGTTAAAAGACGTACAGGTAAACACCTGACCATTCATTTCTTCTTTCCTTCCTTTCTTTCTCTCTTCCTCCTTCCCTCCTTCTCTCCCTCTTTCTCTCTCTGTCTCTCACTCAGCAATCTGCAATGTTTCAGGCATTGTCATAACTCAGCCTTGAGGATATAATAATTTTAAAAAATATTATAGAGCATAACCTCATCCTCAAAGAATTGACATTAGTGGTTAAAGTAAATAATTAAACCCTGACAAAATATTGTTAAGAGTTAGCAGTCTTCATAATAGGTATTTTATTTTGTACTTTCTTCAAAGTTTTCATGTAAAAATATAAGCTTATATATTATTTGATATGAAAATATATTAATATCAAAACACATGATCAGTGAAGAAATTATTTTTAACACAAAAGTGACTGAATTACAGCTCACTTCCATACACTTGAATAAAATACCCTGGCTTGGCAAATCAGTGTAAGAGCTTTAGTTCAACTCAGAGAAACACTAGGTGCACCATAGTTAAATCATTATAATCATAATAAAACATGGTATATATCTATTAATGCCTTGTATGGGACAGGCATTATGTTATAGATTCAACATAAAGTAAAATACATGAAGCATTTTACATTTAATTTGTGTAACAATTCCACAGAGTACCTGCTATGAATATGTTTATTATTAAAATTAACTGACTGAGGCTTAGAAACGTTAAATGACTTGTTCAAGGTAACACAGCTGGTGAGGCCAAAGCTATTTATCCCAAAGGCCCTCTTCTCTTCTATAAGCAGACTTTTGGTTTTAAAGAGCACACTACAAAATTTAACCCTACTGTAGTCAAGATGATGCCATAGATCATTCTCTATCAGTTCAAATCAAGGTTCTTCATCAATTTACAGGAAGAGGCTATTTACTGGCTAGCTGTAATATATATATATATATATATATGAATATATATGAGAAACAGGAAGAGGCTATTTACTGGCTAGCTGTAATATATATATATATATATATATATAAGAATATATATGAGAAACATGTAATACATAAAATTATAATATATATTATGTTATAATATATCATATATTTTATATTTAAGAACTATGTAATGTATAAAAATTATATTATTTAATTTAAATTAAATAAATATAAATTAAATATAAATTAAATACATAATTATAAAAATTATATTATTTATTTTTATACATTAAATTTTATATCTTACATATTTCTTATGTATAAATTATAATATAATTTTATATTATATATAATTGTATACATTATATATTTCTTATAAATATAAAAATATATAACATAGAATATATATTCATACACACACACACACACACACACACACACACACACTCACACACACTATAACCAAGACAGGTTTATTGTAGGAAGTAGCTGGTTTCAGCTCAAGAGCTTGATTTTAGAAAGGTGTTAAGCTCTATTTATCGTAGGATGGTTGGCAGAAGACTAAAGAACAGAGATACACATATTCTCTATTTGTGTAGGTACACACAAATGTACAGGCATACTTGCACATGTGCTTGTTTACACATGTATCTATCAACTCCCAAATCCTAAATTTCCTATTTATTTTTTACTTTTAATAAACTACCTACAGACAAATGAGGTGGTTAGAAATAAACAGGGACTTAGAACACAATGGAGTTATTTACTGAGGCTATTAAGTTAATAAATTGCTAAAATCAATCTGTTCTGAAAGAAAGTGTGATTTTATTTCTCTATGAACCCCTTAAATGCATGATATGAACACAGTGTACACAACACAGCGGTTTTTAGAACCAATTTTTATATGGTCAACTAATTAAAAATGGTATCTAAATGGCATATAAAATGTTTTCTAGGAAAAAAAGTGGAATTCCTGTAGAATGTAACTATTGATTGATTTCTCAGAAATAAATTGTGAAGCTCAGAGATGAGTCCCATTTATAGTTATGTAAATATCACAAATAATAACGGTAAAGTGCAGTGTTTGTTTTGAAATCAGCTTAATTTGTCTCATAATTCTTTCAAAATAAATTCATTTCTTTATGCACTTTGGCTAATATTGGAAATGGAAATAGTATTCAATCAGTTCTAAATCATTTTTTAAGCTAGATAATTTCTGGAAAGTGCTGACTTTTGTTAGAAAATCTGAAAATGGAAAATTCCTCTCAGTGATCTGCTATGTCTTCACATATTATTTATGAAGTTAATACTGCTTCATGGATTTCTTAAATCTCAAAATTCAGCCATCTGTAAACCTCTCTTCTCTGTAATGAATCTTGGAATAAGAAAGAAGAGAAAATATGTTTTAGCTTCCAGAGGAGATTTCTGAAGTCCAAAGCATTAAAGCTCACATACTTGTTTACTCAGGTGAATCAACAAGTCTTTTTCTCAGGTTCTGTTTGCTTTTATTTTGCATGTAATCCTGATAAATTTAATCAGTTTCAGAGCCATCATAGGTTCAAAACAATAGTTTAAAAGGGAAGAAATAAGGTTGCTTCAGATAGGCATAGTAACTATGATTAAAACTGACAATTGAGGGGGAACATATTAAGATAATTATACAGGTCATCAGATGAGGGAATTTAAGTTCTATTTTAGTCTTACATCATACAGGGAAAAGAATTCCATAATCTAGTTTATTGTAGAAATGACAGAAAGCTGACCTCTATCATAGTTAACCATAGTTATAAATGTAACATTAAATTATGTTCAATAAATTCTTAAAGGGAAGATTGGTATAATAAAAAGTAGAGATCTGAGTAATACATTGTAGGCAGATTTTATTCTATATAAACATAGCAGGCTGTTTAAAATGGGCATGACCAAAAAACTTTATTTTGTGTTACCTAGTCACTGCAGTGCCTCTTTTAACAATAGGTTTTGAAGTTAGCTAATACATCAAGGTTTAGTTCAAGTTTTGGCTACATAATAACTACTGATGATGTTGCAGCAAGAGATTTAATAACAGATTTAAGTGAACCTTTTGGATATCATAATAATCAATCAGTCATTGATTATTTTTAATATGCTCATAATGATTTCAAACATTATATCCAGCCTCTAAGAGAAGCTATAATTTCATGTATGGATTTTCTGATTAGTAAATGCCAATACATAGGGAGACTAACACTTCACTAATTTATTACAATAGTGTGGAGAAAACCATATATTATTATCTCTCCCACAAAAGAATTGGAATAGAATAAATAGACTTTATTCTGCTTGTCTTAAAGACAAAAACATTAAAACCGAAGGAGGAATCCACAAGAAAATAGTACTTAATGAAGGAAAGATGCTATGAAATATGCTGTTAAAAACAGAGAGGATGAATCAGTTTTATCATTTTCCAAATTTTTCAGATCATCCATTATTTCCTCTTTAAGGTACTAAATAAATTGTGAATTATCAATACACATGAAATAGAAATCTCTGTGCTTTACTCAGAATATCACAGGAATTTAGAGCTAGAGAGTGCTATCTAGATAACTAGTTCAATGATTTTCAAATAGAAGTACACATCAAAATCACAAGGCGTTATAAATTATCTAAATGCCTGGACCCATCATCTGAATCAGAATTTTAAGCACGTGTCTTTTCAAAAGCAACTCCCTATTTTAGAACAATTGAGTCCAGCTCCTACATTTTATGGAAGAAACTGATAAACAAATTAAAATGTCTAATAATAGGTATTTGCTTATGCATATTTTGACACTAAAATAAAAAGGTATATAGTCTTTAATGTAATAAAATAAATTGGTATATAGTAAACTTGTATGAATACTATAAGAAGTTTTCATTTCGTTTTATGATTCTAATAAATTGGCTAGTTGTGAATCATAGAACAAATTCATGTCAAAGCTAGACAATCTTCAAATGCTGTCTCTGCTCTTTTAAGTTCTCTAAGCTTACAAGTTGTTTAATCTAATAAAAATAAAAAAAGTTAAGAAAATATTTATTCTTAGAAGTTTAACATTTTAGACTAAATTCCATAGAAACCATTACTTAAAAGCAATATTAATATAAAATATATCCATTTAAAGGCTATATATAAGAGCTAAGATATTTCAGGATGGATTAATTTTGTCACACTCCAAAGTATCTGAGAAATTAATGAGAACTAAATGTGCTTTTGTCTCTCTTTTTGCTACAAAAATTGAATTTTTCCTTTCTTTAGGCATATTCAGATGGCTGTTTGTGTTTTGAGAATTCTGGAACTCCGGAGCTCTGATATGAGTCAGATTCTCTGTGTTAATTTCCAACAAATGTGATTAAGCAAATCTTTATAGAGAAGGAGGATATGAAAGAAATGAAGGCTTTAGTATTTGGACAGAGAGCAGTTGGATTGATTCCGCACTGATGGGGAGTTTGTATTCCTGGAGAAAGAAGAGAACCTAGAGGTTTTTGTGGTTCCAACTTGGTATACTGAAGGGACAACTGGGACCTGACCACTGATTAGCTAAGCATCATGCCCTTGAAGGCAAGGGTACAGAGAAGGTCCTGGGAGCCACATTTGGTATGCAAGGATTGAAACCATTTCACAGATTAACATATTTTTGAAAGGAGCATGGAGATACCATATAGGCATTTTATTAGGAGCCAAGATGAACTGTATAGCAAAGGCTGTTCCCCATTAATTCTGGATTGATCCACCTCCAGTGTTTACTCAAATCCCAAGGGAAGGAAATAAGCGACTCTCAAATAATTGACATGTACCACATTTTCTTAATCCAGTCTATCATTGTTGGACATTTGGGTTGGTTCCAAGTCTTTGCTATTGTGAATAGTGCCACAATAAACATACGTGTGCATGTGTCTTTATAGCAGCATGATTTATAATCCTCTGGGTATATACCCAGTAATGGGATGGCTGGGTCAAATGGTATATATACACCATGGACTACTACGCAGCCATAAAAAATGATGAGTTCACGTCCTTTGTAGGAACATGGATGAAGCTCGAAACCATCATTCTCAGCAAACTACCGCAAGGACAAAAAATCAAACCTGCATGTTCTCACTCATAGGTGGGAATTGAACAATGAGAACACATGGACACAGGAAGGGGAACATCACACACTGGGGTCTCTTGTGGGGTGGGGGGAGGGGGGAGGGATAGCATTAGGAGATATACCTAATGTTAAATGACGAGTTAATGGGTGCAGCACACCAACATGGCACATGTATACATATGTAACTAACCTGCACGTTGTGCACATGTACCCTAAAACTTAAAGTATAATTAAAAAAAAACCAAAATAATGAAAAAAAAATTGACATGGATTTTCAACCATATGGTGGATGAAAGTAAAGGTAGTTTTTTTTTTTTTAGAAGACATATAAATTCAGTTTGTTTTTGCATCTGAATGTTTGGGGGAAAAGTTAAACCTGTAGTATACGTGTGTGTGTGTGTGATGTGTGTGATATTTATATATATATATTTATATATTGCAGAGTTGTTCCTTCCACATTAGTTCTACTGCACTATTTTTGTTTCCCCTGCTGTTATCAAAAATAAGCATTCATTATTCATGTAAGATAAAGAGGAAAACGAAACTAAAATGAGAGGGGAAATACTAGATTAATTTGATCATACATATTTAAATAACCACAAGAAATAGTTATTCTCAAATATACATAACAAAGTTACACTAGGGAATAGATCTTACTATACACATTCTTAACATTTGTATTTTATTATATGCTAGACTTTCAAAAGATTATTTTTTCCTCCTATTGTTTTCTTAGATTTACTGAACCATAAAGAAAGGAAAAGAAGAAAACTGGCTCATTGTTACAAATCACTTCCTACTGTGGATTTGAAGTCTTCTTATTTTCTGCTTTTCATCTAAATTCAGCATCATGATGCTGCAATACAATCAAAAGAAAATGCTGTAAATATAAAAATGTTAATTTAAAGCTATACACATACCAGGTTCAAAGAAGATGCAAGCCACATGTCAGTGGGATTGCCTGGGTTCATCTGGACAGTCCAGCTCATACAACAAGCAGGCCGGTGACTCTTTAGGCAAATGCGAATGTTTTATAGATTAAATAAATCATCTTTCTGTTTTTTTAAGGTTATTAAATATTCTGCAGAAAAATCCAACTCTGTGCCTTTCTAATTTTCTCTTCCACTTCAAATCCTTCACATTTTATGTTTTTTCTTTTACCAATGAGTTAGTAAAAGCAAGTAAATATAAAACTCAAAAAATTATGTATTATGTCTAATCCAGGCTTTATTTTAAAAATATGAATTTTGGCTCTTTTTATATGACTTAGTATCTTTGTACTATTTTTGTTTTATTATTATAGAATGCATTGTTTTCCAATAGTATACTATTTATTCATACACAAAAAGGCAATATTTAACAAGACATTTGAGCAAGAAAGCATTAACTCAAAATTCAGGGCTCAAGCCTACATATATTCCATCGGAAGGACCGGCCCTTTACTGGCTCCTGGGAGATAACCTCTGAATTTGGAATATCCTGACAGATAATAATGTCTTTGATACCTGAGACCTCGAGCTGTGCCAAATAGTTTATGCTAATTAGATGTGATTTATGCTTGCAACCCTTTTTTTGTATGCCTAGGGCTTTGGGGCATGCTGCATCAGCTTGGCCCCTGCAGGAGCTGGAGACTGATTAGCTAAGGTCAGTTATGCAGGTGCTTCATGTCATCATGACTGACCTACAGTGAAAACCATAGACAACAAGGCTTATGTGAGCTTCCTTGGTTGGTTACACTTTATATATGTTGCCCTACATTGTTTCTGAGAAAGTATTTTAAGTACTTTTCATGCAACTCCAATGGGAGAATACACCTGGAAGACTGTACCTGCTTTATCTTAGACTTTATCTTATGTGTCTTTCCCTTTGCTAATTTTAATCTGTAACTTTTATAGTAATAAATCCTAGCAAAAAGTAAAACAGTTTTTCTGAGTTCTTCTTATACATTATCAAACCTGAGGGTAGTCTTTAGGCCCCAGACACAATATCTGAAAGCTATGAAATGCTTTGAGCTTTAATATTTTAAGCAATTTGTGGTCTCCATAACACCATTTCTTGGAAGGATATCACCAGTATGATGACATTTCTGTTCTTGAAGTTGATATATGACTTACAGTTAGGAGTTAGATAATTTCAATAGTCTCCTTATGTTAAAATATATTTAAACCAGTTAATAAGATGAGAACTTTATCTCTTCTTCAACTTTGCTTCTTTCTGCTTCCCCCCCGCCCCATATTCTTATTATCACAATTTCTGGAAACAGGAGTCAAGATTTTAAACTATACTACAGTTAGTTGGAATAGCTTCTTAGTGGCAATTCATAAAATAGATAAATGAGACAAGAATATCCTTGGAAGTTCTGTTATTTGGTATAAGGCAAGATGTAAAGTTGTACTCCTTGACTTGTCAAATGACTGGCTTAATGTCCCACAGAATATCTGTGGCAGTGTCAGGTCTGAAAGTGGAATCTTATATTACAGGTATGGGGTTCTTTCTTCTGTAATAAACTCAGATTATTCCTGAAGTTACTGCCAAAATCACAACCTAAAATAAAGCGTAATTACATTATGGATGTGTACATTAGATGATTTACCTGCAAGTAAAAGGAACTCTGACTTCAGTAATATTAAACAAGAGGCCATAAGGATCAAATATATTAGGTCCAGAGGTTGGGCAGGCAACCTGAGAGGTTCAGTCAAGAGTTCAACAGTTGACCACAGGCCAGATTTCTTTTATCTCTAATCTCTGCTGTTTTCAGGACACTCACTAATAATAGACTAATAGTTTATTATATTATTATTTAAGTAGTTAATAGTGATAGTCTAATCAACTATACCCCCCCATCTTGCTTTAGGGCCTCAAAATGGTAACAGCAACTACATAAATCCAGATGTTAGAAGGTATAGGAGAGGTCACGCATACTTTTCCTCACATTCTAAGAGCAGGCGACGAAATCTTTCCTCAGAAAGAATGCCTCCCTTGCCTCAGAGACCAGCATAGTGTCACATGTCCACTTCTAAAGGAATCCCCAAGAGTGGGATGTGATTAACATGACTGCCTTAGATAAAGCATGAGACATGGACCAAGACAAAGCAACCAGACAACCACAAATACTTGAAAAGTGGCTAGACAACCTCTGGAGTAACTCTGTTTCTGGTCATGGATATGTAAATGCGAGTTACAGTTATTCCATTAGGTATCTGCAGTCCTTGTGGGAAAAAACAGTTTGCCACAAATGTTCCTTCTATTGTAAAAACAATGTCAGTGCACTGACAGTCAAAATATGTGGTGGCTGAAACCATATTTTGGCTTTTCAAAGGTTTGCTTTTAAAGCTTTGTTTTCTAACTTCAACAAGTATAGTCTTCTTGCAAATATCAGTTCTGTTGTTAAGTAACAAACTATAAGCCTGGATTAGTATTGTAGCCCTGACTTGTGTTGTATGTTGCTTATTTTCTGAAGCCAGTCAGTGAGTGAGTCCACCTTGAGTAGGTGTTTTTATGTCAGGCTTTGTGAGAAATGAGGAGCCGGAGGGGATCCCAAATCAATTGCCAACCATGTCACAGATCATTTAAGGCAGAATGGAACATGCTTGTGACAAAGGTGATGACAAATGAATATGTACTGAAGGGACAACACCAACAGATGAGTGAAGGAAACTGGAAATATGTAATATGAGATGGAGGTCAGAGTGAAATGTAAGATAATGATAATGAAATACATGTGTGAATGTAATACCATGAGTTAGATAAAAATAGGTGGCCGTTAAGACTCACACAGTGCCTTTCAGAATAAATTCTGAAATTTTACACAAATTCAATATTGCCACAAGTTGTGAATCCAATAAGTGAACAGTTTGTTATATAATATTTAAACCAACCTGTATAGAGTGGAGAATAGAACATGTTTTACTACCTTTAAGTTAAAAAAAAAAAGTTGCTTGAGTTTCTGTTTTCTAACCTTGAGAAGTAAGCATATGTAATATATATACTAACCTAACACACAGGCAAAAACTCACTCTATTTGTACATAGGTGTTAAATTATATTAGTCCACATTTAGGTATATAAAAAGCCAGTGGATACTAACGAGATGCAGGTCTTTGCAGGTAGAATTGTGCTCACAGGCATTCAGGATGCAGTCATCAATGTCCTGTTCACATCTTATCCCAACATAGCCTGGATTGCATAAGCAGGAAAAGCCATCAACCACTGGAAACAACAGAAAAGAGAAAACTCTTAACATTCCTTTAACCTTAGTACAGGTAATTATAATTAGTCTAAAATTCTATAATCATTTATGTAGTTCACTTTTAACCAAATAAAGTAAGAATTATTATATTTAATCGATTACATAGTCATCTACAATATTTTCTAAATAACCATCTTATTCAGTTCTATTTAACTTAAAAAAAAAACTTCAGTTAGTTGAAATAAGAACAATTACTATGGACATTTGGTAATAGTTTGCAAAGCAACAATGAAAATATCCAATTTTACTTGCTCTCTCTTGTTTTTGGCAGTACACAATATATATGATAAATAGGTTACTCTTGTATCATTTAATTTTCCCAAGTTGTTTTAGGTTTAATAAACAAGACCTTAACTGTTCAGTTGTTAAAGTTCTATGTATGACAGAATATATTAAAGTGCATTGTGATCTCAAAGTTGATAATGAGCTACTTAAGCCTTAGTTAAAAAGAGCTTTCACGTTTCATCAAAATCTTTGTAAAATAATGATCACAATTTGTTCTTCATTTTACCATTAATGATGAAAAAGAATGGTGTCTGAAGCATCTCAAGGAAGTAGTGACAGTATGAATTGCAGTTGGAGCAGGCACCAATTTATAACTACTTGCAGTCAGTCCCTGAGTCCTTCATTATCCCTGAGATTTACCATGAAATCTATACTCCCATTATGCCTCTCTGCATGTACTTGCTATTACTCTCATTAAATGCTTAGGTCTTCAGTGGCAACAGCATTTTTAATGCACTGTAATAAATGTATCTAGCTTCTGGATTTTTGCAGCCATGTTTTGTACAACATGTGTAACTAGGGCCTCTAAGGAGAACAGGGCAGTCATAGACATCAACAAGAGACAAGTGAAATACACAAGAATAGGCAGCTCCTTAGACAGGATTTTACTTCTGTTTTACTTTCCTTTTGTATCTAGCACCTAGTTTTTAACCTCTCATTGACTACAAATTGTTAATAAATAAACAGATGTAATTGTAAATGAATTAATGTGATAAAATGTCAGTCTGTGCTTCTATGTTACACATGGTATTTTTTATTTTAACATATTAAAACCACATATTATACAATATATAATTAAGACATTGTGGAGTGTCATCAATCATAACAATATTTAAAATTATCCTTATGGTTATTATTTAAGTTGGGATACTGATGCATACTGACAAGTAACAACTGGAGTCAAATTAACTTTCAGCATTGATGTTACGTGTTCTATGAAGACAAATTATAAATTACATTAAACGCAAAGGACAACAAAAGGTCACTTTGAACAAACGAAGTGTCTGGAAACAGATTGTTAAAAAAATAAAGCATGCTTTTATTGTCAATAAATGTGTTTCTAACATAGATTAATACAGACAAGGAATGTGTTTCTAACACTTTATTCTGGAATAAAAATTAATAAATGGACTAAGTGCCAGAAGAGAACCTAGAGAACTAAATTGGATACCAAAGGGAAATCGGATACTGCAAAGAAGATAGAAAAAAATTAAATATTTAAAACAAAGTAACAAAAAGTAGAGGGTTTTTCTCATATGTAATTTGTTAACCACGGGGCTATGTGATAACCAATAACCATTTCACAGGAAAGACATGTTATACACATAGTCTTGCTCTTGATTGTTGTTGTTGTTTTTAACAGAAAATCTAGTCACTGTGATATGGAAGTGCTGGAATGGGAAGAGTGTGGTCCCTTTAAATGATACAGAAGGGGGAAGGGAAGTGCTGGGTAGAGGAGGGCGTGGTCCCTGGCTAGGGCTCCACCCCCATGGATCTACGTGAGGACGGCACTCCTGCCTTTATGCCAGAATGTTGCATTTCCCAAGACCACCCTGTCCCACCCTGCCCACATCGTGTGCCTATAAAAACCCCGGAGACCCTAGCAGGCAGACACACATGTGGCTGGATGTAGTGAGAAACACATCAGGGGAAGAAGACACAGTGGCACCTGGACATTGAGAGGCACACATCAGCAGAGGAACACACAGGTGGCTGCACATCAGGAGGAACGCACTGACAAGCGCCGGCACGCTGGAGCTCCAGAACAACATGGAGTTTTGCCAGGGCAGTCAGAGGGGAGCCCAGGACGCCGAGCACCCCAACTCCAAGGGAAAACCACCTCCCTTCTGGCTTGCATTGTCTGAGAGCTACTTCCACCCAGTAAAACCTTGCACTCATTCTCCAAGTCCAGGTGTGATCTGATTCTTCTGGTACACCAAGGCAAGAACCCAGGATACAGAAAGCCCTCTGTCCTTGTGACAAAGTAGAGGGTCTAATTGAGCTGGTTAACACAAGCCGCCTATAGATGGCAAAACTAAAAGAGCAAAACTAAATGAGCACCCTGTAACACACGCCCACTGGGGCTTCAGGAGCTGTAGACATTCACCCCTATGCACTGCGGTGGAGTCAGAGCTCCACATCCTGCCTGTCTATACGTTCCGCTAGAGGAATGGGGCACTGAAGAAGCGAGCCACTCCCCCTGTCACACACCCTGCAAGGGGGAAAAAGGACCTTTCCCATTTCAACTGCATTGGTATTAGTCTGTGTTTATAAATATTTCATACTACTATTTTGAGGCCAAATTTTCTTAAAATAGGCCTTCTATGAATCTGGATGTATTATTCATTTTATGCTTAAATGTGTACCAGACATCATATATACTGGTTGTACTGAATGAAAGTTTGTAATGTGACAAAACTTTTTGGTGGAATATACAGAGGTATTTTAAAACTGTAACAGCAGGCCAGGCAGGTGGCTCACACTTGTAATCCCAGCACTTCGGGAGGCCGAGGCAGGTGGATCATTGGAGGTCAGGAGTTCAAGACCAGCCTGATCAACATGGTGAAACCCCATCGCTACTAAAAATATAAAAAAAAAAATTAGCCGGGCTTGGTGGCACATGCCTGTAGTCCCAGCTACTTGGGAAGCTGAGGCAGGACAATTGCTTGAACCTGGGAGACAGAGGTCACAGTGAGCCTAGATCGTGCCACTGCACTCCACACTGGAAGACAGAGCAAGACTCCATTAAAAAACAAACAAACCTGTAACAACAAAATGGTGAACAACCGTATAATGGTGTTCAAGATTTACAGACTCACACACAAACACACACATATATGCAGTGATTTCTCATATATTGTCCTGTAATAAATACTATTGACATGCTAGAGTTCCCTGATCCCTCTCGCAGGACATGCGACAGGGGTGTGGCTGGCCTGCTCAGTTGCCGCAGCTGCTGAAACCCCTTGAGGGAGGGGGACCACGCAGATAGGCAGGTGCAGAGGCCAGGGCGAGTGCTTTGGGCTCTGGACCTGTGGTAGTGTCTAGGGGTGGATGCCTGCAACCCCAGTGTTACAATGCTCTCAGCCTTGCTGTCCGCAGATGGCTTTAAGGGTTAACCAGCTGAATGGACCCTCTGCCTTTTCACAAGGGCAGAAGGCCAGTATGATAGCTATCTGTATCCTGAGCTCTTGCCTAGCGTCCCGGAAGATTCGGGTCACACATGGGCTTGAAGGTTGAATGAGAGATCTTGAGTGGTGGAGGTGGCTCTCAGCAGGATGGATGGGGAAGTGAAAGCAGGGGATGGAGTGGGAAGATAATCTTCCCCTGGAGTTGGGCCGCACAGTGGCCAAACTCCTCTCTGACCACTCCCAAACTCCTCTTGGTATTCAGATGTTCCTCCTCTTCTCTCTTTCTCTGCGGAAGAGTCCGTTGGTCTGCCTGTCTTACCTCTTCAACTTCCGGTTCACTCTGGAGTCTGAGGTTCAGCATTTATCTGGGTACGGGCTAGGGAGCATGGCAAGCCAAAAGGCAACTTTTTGGGTGGAAAAACAGGAATGCCTGTTCTCATTTATGGCTACGGGTATCCAGGCTTGAGGATGCGGCCTTTGCCAGGGCATCTTGTACCTTCTTCTACCCAGTATTTCCGTGTCTTCTGTCTGTATTACTATTAACTAGAATTCAGGAAGTTTAGCTTCCCAAACCATTTTATTTCAGAGAAAGTATGAAGAATCTAGTGTCTTAGTTTCATTCTGATAACATTCTACATGTGTGATATAAATTTTAATAAATATTTTGGTTGCCTGGTAGCTAAATATCCTTAGATGGGGTCCAAAATATATTATGAATGATTATATTATGAAATACATTAATATATTAAGTATTCAAATTTTACATTTCCCATAATATATTATGGTTTCAAAATTTTAATAGGTAGTATTGCATTATAAGTAACATTATAAATTGCATTTTCATATCTTAGAAAAAATCATATATTAAAATATTTATGAAGAACTTTTAAAAGTCAAATATAATACATTGTTAATCAATGTGAACAATTTAAATTTAAATTGTCTATTATAATCATTATAGTAGGGCTGCCTACATATTTCAAAAACAAAAAATCTCTAACTTCTCTCTCAGCCATGCGATATTTTAAAATGACATGAATCTTTTTTAAGTATCATTCCTCACCAGACACCTGTGGGTTTGAGCTCAGAAATGATACAATACTGACTTACTTCAAGGTAATTTGAGAATTTCAGAAATTTTAAAATACAATCTTGGAAGTGCCAAAATCTGGAACAAAAATAATAACTTGGTGATTTATATCAAGAGCAGCAAAAATATGGCATATAGTCCACAGAACTGTTTTGCTCAGCTGGCACAATGTTAGAAAATTAACGTGATATTAGTATCTATACAGATATTTCAGTTTGCTAGGGCCCCACCACTACCTTTTATATCTGGGTTCTTTTATATCTGGGTGGCTTCACCCAATTTACAAAATTCAATTGCCTTGATATTGGCTTTTATTTGCACAGCACTTGTTTTGAGAAACAAATTTAAAATTTGAGTTAAATCCTACTGTTTCTAAATAAAAAGACAATAACATAACTTTCTATTGAAATGAGGTTTTATATGTAATTTTAACTATTTATTCATATATTGAGGTGTTGTGGGAAGTCAGGGACCCCAAACAGAGGGACCGGCTGAAGCCATGGCAGAAGAACGTAGATTGTGAAGATTTCATGGACATTTATTAGTTCCCCAAATTAATACTTTTATAATTTCTTATGCCTGTCTTTACTGCAATCTCTAAACATAAATTGTAAAGATTTCATGGACAATTATCACTTCCCCAATCAATATCCTAGTGATTTCCTATGCCTGTCTTTACTTCAATCTCTTAATCCTGTCAGCTGAGGAGGATGTATATCGCCTCAGGACCCTGTAATAATTGCATTAACTGCACAAATTGTACAGCATGTGTGTTTGAGCAATATGAAATCTGGGCACCTTGAAAAAAGAACAGGATAACAGCAATGTTTAGGAAACAAGAGAGATAACCTTGAACTCTGACCGCCGGTGAGCTGGGCAGAACAGAGCCATATTTCTCTTCTTTCAAAAGCAAATGGGAGAAATATAGCTGAATTCTTTTTCTCAGCAAGGAACATCCCTGAGAAAGAGAATGTGCACCTGGGGGTGGGTCTCTGAACTGGCCCCCCTGGGCGTGGCCATCTCTTATGGTTGAGACTGCAGGCGTGAAATAGACCCCAGTCTCCCACAGCACTCCCAGGCTTATTAGAAAGAGGAAATTCCTGCCTAATAAATTTTGGTCAGACCGGTTGCTCTCAAAACCCTGTCTCCTGATAAGATGTTATCAACGAAATGGTGCCCGAAACTTCATTAGCAATTTTAATTTCACCTCAGTCCTGTGGTCCTGTGATCTTGCCCTGCCTCCACTTGCCTTGTGATATTCTATTACCTTGTAAAGTACTTGATGTCTGTGACCCACACCTATTCGCACACTCCCTCCCCTTTTGAAACTCCCTAATAAAAACTTGCTGGGTTTTGTGTCTTGTGGGGCATCACAGAACCTACCAACATGGGATGTCTCCCCCGGATGCCCAGCTTTAAAATTTCTCTCTTTTGTACTCTGTCCCTTTATTTCTCAAGCCGGCCGGCACTTAAGGAAAATAGAAAAGAACCTACGTGAATATCAGGGCAGGTTACCTGATACTGAGGGATCATGTAGAAATATATTTTAAAGGAGGTGAGATAAAACCAAATAAGATAGTTTTTTGCAACACCCTTCTAGACCTTTGTTTATTTCTGTTTCTCCTTTTTATGCCTCAGCCACATTCTGTATATAATGTCATTTCGTTTTCTGTGTCTCAACAAAATTACCCATTTTAGGCATGTTCTTCCACAGAAAAATCCATGTTTCCATCTTACTTTTCCCTCTTTCCTTCTTTTCTTCCTGTCTTTTTCCTCTATAAATTTATATTTTTTTAGGAATATAAATTTCAGTAGGAAGAAGTGTGAGTGTGTGGGGTGATATATGTATAAAATAGGCTAAACTAATGTTATTTTGAATACTGTAAACAATGCTTTCTCATGCCTAAGGGTGAATATTTTTAAAAATTCTACCATTTCAAATAAAATTGCAAAGGTTAATTCTGACACTAGAAAGGAAAAGTCACATTTCATTAGATTTCCTCATTCGCTGCACTTGTGACTCACAAAAATATAAATGAATTTGTCAGAAATTGGGGGTACTTAGTGAAGATAACTGACATTGACTTTGATGTTCAAGCCAGGCTAAAGTCAGTAAATAATCATGGTTATATCCTAAACTCTCCCATTACTATGTTACATTCTACAATGGTCTGCTCTACAATAATTGCAGCCGCTGAAGGAACTCACTGTCATAGCAATATCCATGCAGGCAAGGGCTGGAACTGCACTCATTGACATTGATCTCACAGCGTGGACCTGAAAAGCTGGCACACTGGCACCGGAACTCAAGGGGAAACATTTCCAAATCCATTTTCTCTCCACGCACAGCTCCATTCTCACAAGAATCACTAGCTTTGCAAGGTCCAAATTCACAGTGATAACTTGGAAAAGAAAGAATCAAAGTGCCAATGCTTATTGAATGAACCAATTCTTACAACTGCTGTCATTCACCTGGCATATTTCAGCATAAAGGCATCCAATTTATTCTCTATTCTCTTCCATATTATCATTGTGACTCTCTCTCTCTCTCCCTTTCCCTCTACATTACAATTTAAGAAAGAAATGTTATTTATGATTTCTATGCTTCATCTAACAAAGTACCAGCAGGTAGCAATGATAAGTGACAGCATTTTTAAAAATTATATTTTGTTTCTTCATACTTCCCACTTCTTGTTCAACAATGTTCTCTGAAGACATTGCAATTAAGAAAGTAGATTATTGGGCAACCCCCTTTGGGTCCCCTCCCTTTGCATGGGAGCTCTGTTTTCACTCTGTTAAATCTTGCAACTGCACTCTTCTGGTCTATGTTTGTTATGGCTTGAGCTGAGCTTTCGCTTGCCGTCCACCACTGCTGTTTGCCACTGTTGCAGACCAGCTGCTGACTTCCATCCCTTGAGATCTGGCAGGATGTCCGCTGTGCTCCTGATCCAGCGAGGCGCCCATTGCCACTCCCGATCGGGCTAAAGGCTTGCCATTGTTCCTGCACGGCTAAGTGCCTGCGTTCATCCTAATCGAGCTGAACGCTAGTCACTGGGTTCCACGGTTCTCTTCCATGACCCACGGCTTCTAATAGAGCTATAACACTTACCGCATGGCCCAAGATTCCATTCCTCGGAATCCGTGAGGCCAAGAGCCCCAGGTCAGAGAACACAAGGCTTGCCACCATCTTGGAAGCGGGTCACCGCCATCTTGGGACCTCTGTGAGCAAGGACCACCCGGTAACATTTTGGCGACCACGAAGGGACCTCCAAAGTGGTAATGTTGGACCACTTTCGCTTGCTATTCTGTCCTATCCTTCCTTAGAACTGGAGGAAAATACCGGGCACCTGTCCGCCAGTTAAAAACGATTAGCATGGCCGCTGGACTTAAGACTTAGGTGTGAGGCTATCTGGGGAAGGGCTTTCTAACAACCCCCGACCCTTCTATTGGGGATGTTGATCTGCCTGGAGCCAGCTTCCACTTTCAATTTTCTTGGAGAAGCTGAGGACCGACTAGAGGTAGAAAGCAGCTGTCCCGAACTCCCGGCAGTAGCCGGTTAAGATCATGGCACAGCCAGAAGTCTCTACCCAGCAGTCGCCCATGCGTGCACCCCTACCTTTCCTTCTGACCCACACCTCCTGGGTCCCGACCACGACTTTTTTGAAAGTGTAGCCCCAAAATTCTCCTTACCTCTGAATCTACTTCCTCTGATCCCTGCCTCCTAGGTACTAATGGTTCAGACTTTCATTTCTTCTAGCAAGTTGTATCTCCAAAGGGATCTAAGGAGGCTCTACACTGTGTCCTTAGGCACCTAGGCTATAACCCAGGGAGTCTTATCCCTGTTATCCCTCCTGATTTAGGTATACAGCTGTCTACATGGGCAGTTACGTGGGACCCGTTCCCCACCACCTGTGCCAGGGCCCCAAGTTTGTAATGGCTAAGAGAGAGAGACGGAGAGAGAGACAAAAAGGGAGTCAAAGAGAAAAAGAAAGAAAAAGATATTAATAGTTAAAAAAAAAAAGTGTTCCCTATTCATTTAAAAGCCAGGGTAAATTTAAAACCTGTAATTGATAATTGCCACTTTGTTGTCAGTGTAAATAAGGGCTTAGCAAATCCTTAACCCAGTAACCCACAGATGGGCCAAATGCATTCAGTCAGTCGGTAGGGACAACTGCTTCACTAAAAGTAGAAAAGTAACTTTTAGAGGAAACCTCGTTGTGAGCACACCTCACCAGTTCAGAGTTATTCTAAGTCAAAAAAAAAAAAAAAAAAAAGCAAAAAGGTAGCTTTCTAACTCAAAAATATTAAAGTATGGGGCTATTATGTTAGAAAAAGCTAATGTAACTCCAACCACTGATAATTCCCTTAACCCAGCAGATTTCCTAATGGGGGATTTAAATCTTAATTACCATACAAAGGTCCGACCAGAGCTAGGAGGAACTCCCTTCAGGACAGGATGATAGATGGTTCCTCCCAGGTGATTGAGGAAAAAACCACAATGGGTATTCAGTAATTGATAAGGAGACTTTTGTGGAAGCAGAGTTAGAAAAATTGCCTAATAATTGGTCTCCTCAAAGGTGCAAACTGTTTGCACTCAGCCAAGCCTTAAAGTACTTACAGAATCAAAAGACTATCTCAATCCAGACTCAAAAGTTTTGCTACACCCTCTCTGAAATGAATTTGCATAAGAACTGTTGTTTACAAGAATGCATCTTGATGGGGCAGCTGGGTTGTTGTGAAATACTCAGAAACCCAGCCCAGCTCTAGGACTCACCCTGAGTGCAAAGGCAATGTTAGGCATGCTGGTAAAGGACCACTAGAATCCAGCATCCTGGATCCCTTTTTTTGTGGTCAAGAGAGGCGGGTAAAACAGATGCAGGACTGCTACATAGGTGAGTGTAACTAATCAGATAAGCAGAGGTCCATGGGTGGTTACGCACCTAGAAAGGAATAAGCATTAGGACCATAGAGGATGCTCTAGGACTAATGCTCATCGGAAAATGACTAGGGGTGCTGGCATCCCTATGTCCTTTTATCAGATGGGAAACATTTCCCCCAAGGCAAAAATGCCCCTAAGATGTATTCTGGAGAATTAAGACCAATTTGACCCTCAGACGCTAAGAAAGAAATGACTTATATTCTTCTGCAGTACCGCCTGGCCACTATACCCTCTTCAAGGGGGGAGAAACCTGGCCTCCTGAGGGAAGTATAAATTATAACACCATCTTACAGCTAGACCTGTTTTGTAGGAAAAAGGCAAATGGAGTGAAGTGCCATATGTACAAACTTTCTTTTCATTAAGAGACAACTGGCAATTATGTAAAAAGTGTGATTTATGCCCTACAGGAAGCCCTCAGTCTACCTCCCTACCCCAGTGTCCCCCTAACTCTTTCCCCAATGAATAAGGACCCCCCTTCAACCCAAACGGTCCAAAAGGAGATAAATAAACAATTAACCAAAGAGTGCCAATGTTCCCCAATTATGCCCCCTCCAAGCGGTGGGAGGAGGAGAATTCGGCCCAGCCAGCGTGCATGTACTTTTTTCTTTCTCAGACTTAAAGCAAATTAAAATAGACCTAGGTAAATTCTCAGATAACCCTGATGGCTATATTGATGTTTTACAAGAGTTAGGGCAATCCTTTGATCTGACATGGAGAGATATAATGTTACTGCTAAATCAGACACTAACCCCAAATGAGAGAAGTGCCACCATAACTGCAGCCCGAGAGTTTGGTGATCTCTGGTATATCAGTCAGGTCAATGATAGGATGACAACAGAGGAAAAAGAATGATTCCCCACAGGCCAGCAGGCAGTTCCCAGTATAGGCCCTCACTGGGACACAGACTCAGAACATGGAGATTGGTGCCACAAACATTTGCTAACTTGCGTGCTAGAAGGACTAAGGAAAACTAGGAAGACTATGAATTATTCAATGATGTCCACTATAACACGGGGAAAGGAAGAAAATCCTACCGCCTTTCTGGAGAGACTAAGGGAGGCGTTGAGGAAGCATACCTCTCTCACCTGATTCTATTGAAGGCCAACTAATCTTAAAGGATAAATTTATCACTCAATCAGCTGCAGACATTAGAAAAAAAAACTTCAAAAGTCTGCCATAGGCCCGGAGCAAAACTTAGAAACCCTATTGAACGTGGCAACCTTGGTTTTTTATAAAAGAGATCAGGAGGAGCAGGTGGAACAGGACAAATGGGATAAAAAAAAAGGCTACCGCTTTAGTCATGGCCCTCAGGCAAGCGGACTTCGGAGGCTCTGGAAAAGGGAAAAGCTGGGAAAATTGAATGCCTAATAGGCCTTGCTTCCAGTGCAGTCTACAAAGACACTTTAAAAAAGATTGTCCAAGTAGAAGTAAGCTGCCCCCTTGTCCATACCCCTTATGTCAAGGGAATCACTGGAAGGCCCACTGCCCCAAGGGACGAAGGTCCTCTGAGTCAGAAGCCACTAACCAGATGATCCACCAGCAGGACTGAGGGTGCCTGGGGCAAGCGCCAGCCCATGCCATCACCCTCACAGAGCCCCAGGTATGCTTGACCATTGAGGGCCAGGAGGTTAACTGTCTCCTGGACACCGGTGCGGCCTTCTCAGTCTTACTCTCCTGTCTTGGACAACTGTCCTCCAGATCTGTCACTATCCGAGGGGGTCCTAGGACAGCCAGTCACTAGATACTTCTCCCAGCCACTAAGCTGTGATGGGGCGCTTTACTCTTTTCACATGCTTTTCTAATTATGCCTGAAAGCCCCAATCCCTTGTTAGGGAGAGACATTCTAGCAAAAGCAGGGGCCATTATACACGTGAACATAGGAGAAGGAACACCCGTTGGTTGTCCCCTGCTTGAGGAAGGAATTAATCCTAAAGTCTAGGCAACAGAAGGACAATATAGACGAGCAAAGAATGCCCATCCTGTTCAAGTAAAACTAAGGGATCCCACCTCCTTTCCCTACCAAAGGCAGTACCCCCTTAGACCTGAGGCCCAACAAGAACTCCAAAAAATTAAGGACCTAAAAGCCCAAGGCCTAGTAAAACCATGCAATAGCCCCTGCAGTATTCCAATTTTAGGAGTAAAGAAACCCCATGGATAATAGAGATTAGTGTAACATCTCAGGGCTATCAATGATGCCATTGTCCCTCTATACCCAGCTGTACCTAGCCCTTATACTCTGCTTTCCCAAATACCGGAGGAAGCAGAGTGGTTTACAGTCCTGGACCTTAAGGATGTCTTTTTCTGCATCCCTGTACATCCTGACTATCAATTCTTGGTTGCCTTTGAAGAGCCTTCAAACCCAACGTCTCAACTCACCTGGACTGTTTTACCCCAAGGGTTCAGAGATAGCCCCCATCTATTAGGCATTAGCCCAAGACTTGAGTCAATTCTCATACCTGGACACTCTTGTCCTTTGGTACATGGATGATTTACTTTTAGCTGCCCTTTCAGAAACCTTGTGCCATCAAGCCACCCAAGAGCTCTTACATTTCCTCGCTACCTGTGGCTACAAGGTTTCCAAACAAAAGGCTCAGCTCTGCTCACAGCAGTTTAAATACTTAGGGCTAAAATCATCCAAAGGCACCAGGGCCCTCAGTCAGGAATGTATCCTGCCTATACTGGCTTATCCTCATCCCAAAACCCTAAAGCAACTAAGAGGTTCCTTGGCATAACAGGTTTCTGCCGAATATGGATTCCTAGGTATGGCAAAATAGCCAGACCATTATATACACTAATTAAGGAAACTCAGAAATCCAATACCCATTTAGTAAGATGGACACCTGAATCAGAAGTGGCTTTCCAGGCCCTAAAGAAGGCCCTAACCCAAGCCCCAGTGTTAAGCTTGTCAATGGGGCAAGACTTGACTTTATATGTCACAGAAAAGAACAGGAATAGCTCTAGGAGTCCTTACACAGGTCCGAGGGACAAGCTTGCAACCTGTGGCATACCTGAGTAAGGAAACTGATGTAGTGGCAAGGGTTGGCCTCATGGTTTACAGGTAGTGGCAGCAGTAGCAGGCTTAGTATCTGAAGCAGTTAAAATAATACAGGGATCTTACTGTGTGGACATCCATGATGTGAATGGCATACTAACTGCTAAAGGAGACTTGTGGCTGTCAGACAACCATTTACTTAAATATCAGGCTCTATTACTTGAAGGGCCAGTGCTGCGACTGCGCACTTGTGCAACTCTTAACCCAGCCACATTTCTTCCAGACAATGAAGAAAAGATAGAACATAACTGTCAACAAGTAATTGCTCAAACATACGCCACTTGAGGGGACATTTTAGAGGTTCCCTTGACTGATCCCGACCTTAACTTGTGTACTGATGGAAGTTCCTTTGTAGAAAAAGGACTTTGAAAAGCGAGGTATGCAGTGGTCAGTGATAATGGAATACTTGAAAGTAATCCCTTCACTGCAGGAACTAGTGCTCAGCTGGCAGAACTAATAGCCCTCACTCAGGCACTAAAATTAGGAGAAGGAAAAAGGGTAAATATATACACAGAATCTAAGTATGCTTACCTAGTCCTCCATGCCCATGCAGCAATATGGAGAGAAAGGGAATTCCTAACTTCCGAGGGAACACCTATCAAACATCAGGAAGCCATTAGGAGATTATTATTGGCTGTATAGAAACCTAAAGAGGTGGCTGTCTTACACTGCTGGGGTCATCAGAAAGGAAAGGAAAGGAAAATAGAAGAGAACCGCCAAGCGGATATTGAAGCCAAAAGAGCCACAAGGCAGGACCCTCCATTAGAAATGCTTATAGAAGGATCCCTAGTATGGGGTAATCCCCTCCGGGAAACCAAGCCCCAATACTCAGCAGGAGAAGTAGAATGGGGAACCTCACAAGGACATAGTTTTCTCCCCTCAGGATGGCTAGCCACTGAAGAAGGAGAAATACTGTTGCCTGCAGCTAACCAATGGAAATTACTTAAAACCCTTCACCAAACCTTTCACTTAGGCATAGATAGCACCGATCAGATGGCCAAATTATTATTTACTGGACCGGGCCTTTTCAAAACTATCAAGCAGATAGTCAGGGCCTGTGAGGTGTGCCAAAGAAATAATCCCCTGCATTGCAGGCCATACATTTCAATCCCTGTATCTTTAACCTCCTTGTTAAGTTTGTCTCTTCCAGAATAGAAGCTCTAAAACTACAAATCGTTCTTCAAATGGAGCCCCAAATGCAGTCCATGACTAAGGTCTACCGCAGACCCCTGGACTGACCAGCTAGCCCATGCTCTGAAGTTAATGACATTGAAGACACCCCTCCCGAGGAAATCTCAACTGCACAACCCCTACTATGCCCCAGTTCAGCAGGAAGCAGTTAGGGCAGTCATCGGACAATCTCCCCAACAGCTCTTGGGATTTCCTGTTGAGAGGGGGAACTGAGAGACAGAACTAGCTGGATTTCCTAGGCCGACTAAGAATCCCTAAGCCTAGCTGGGAAGGTGACCGCTTCCACCTTTAAACAAGAGGCTTGCAACTTAATTCACACACGACCAATCAGATAGTAAGGAGAGCTCACTAAAATGCTAATTAGGCAACAACAGGAGGTAAAGAAATAGCCAATCATCTGTTGCCCGAGAGCACAGCGGGAGGGACAATGATCGGGATATAAACCCAGGCATTCGAGCTGGCAATGGCAACCCCCTTTGGGTCGCCTCCCTTTGTATGGGAGCTCTGTTTTCACTCTATTAAATCTTGCAACAGCAAAAAAAAGAAAGTAGATTATTAACAATTTGATGCTCCCTATATTTTCTTTCTGGTACCCTGGAGGTTGCTATCACTGTAAGCTCTGTTTGAAGGATTTGTTGCTATTCTCAAAACAAGTAAATGATGGAAAAAGAACATTGTAATAAACATCTAATCTTAATAGAAATACTTCAATCCTGAAAAATTTTTTATATTTTACTCAGAAAATGTAATTATATAAAGTGGTTGCCATTGTGTGAAATGTACACAAGTATTTAAGAAATAGGATTATTTGATTCAAGAGAAACCATATCAGACAAAAAGCACAGTATAAGCAGCACAAACTTTTTCAACAAAGCAACATTATTATTTGAGTGTCAGTTTTCAAGGCATAGTAAAAATATTTACATGTTACCTATTTGGAAAGTACTTAAAAATAAGGCTACTTATTCACTAAAATGTACAGTACATAGGTACAAACATAGGTTCTAAAAACGCCTGGCTGAATACTTTAAAGCAGAAAATATACAGTCATCATTAAGTCCTTGAACTGCTTGGGTTTTCTCAGTAATTTCACAACTACAGGGATAAAGGTATAACACAAAGACTTAGGATAAGGGATAAAGGTTTCAAAGTTGAGAAGTACTATAGTTGTTTGAGAAATTACAAAAGCCAAGTGTCCCTGTGATTCTCCCAGTTCTGACCACAAGAAAAATAGTAAGGGGGACTGCCTAGAAGCTGCTGAGGATATCAGCAATCTGTAGAGTAAAGGCAGCAAATTGATATCATTAGTGTCCATAAAATAAGAGCAATAAAACTGTACCAAAATGGAGATGCTCAGGACTTCACTTTCCAAGTACAGCAAAAAAAAAAAAAAAATGAAAAAAAACTACTTCACAAGAACATAAAAATAAAAATTTCCTTCAATAAAAAAAAATCTATCAAGTGGCTACTTTTTGCAATAGCAATGCTTAGTAGTATAGAGAATTCAAATAGAAACAAGATCTTTTTCTGAAACTATTATGAGATTGAAATGTATTATAAGTAATACATTTCTGGATACTATTTTATCATAATCAAAGTTTTTGTGAAATAATGGAAATTGCATTGAACAAACATCTACTCATGCAGAAAAAATGAATTGTCTTTAATGAAAAGTTCCCATGCATACCCTTTCTTTCTAATTACCTACTGCTAAATATTTAATTGTGACACTAGGTGTTTTGTTTTGCTAGTGGGAAGTTAATTTAGCTGTTGCTTTGTAAATAATTTTGTATATTATAATCTATTACATAGCTGAACAACAATGTATATGAGAAAATACTCATGATATTTTCTTTTGCAGAACACACATGAATTCACTGTACCCCCATATCATGTTGATTTGTACATGAATTCATTATACTAATATGTAATGAGCCCTTGTCCTGTGGCAAGCACTGTGCTAGACGCGGGAGGTGGGGGGCAGGTGTTTAAAAGAACAATGATGGGTTCAAATAGGCAAGTAAATCGGTGCAATAAGTGGTAAACATGATCAATTTCCTTGCTAAAGAGTCATTATGTAAGTAGAATTCCAATATGGTTTCCAAGATCCCCACCACTAGTGTACATACCCCATGTAATTCCCTCACTTTAAATGTGGGTGAGGCTGGGTGCAGTGGCTCACAACTGTATTCCCAGGACTTTGGGAGGCCAAGGTGGGAGGATTGTTTGAGGCCAGAAGTTTGAGACTAGTTTCAGCAACATAGTGAGACCCCTAGAGGTGGTGAAGAGATGGTGATAGGCACACCTATAGTCCCAGCTACTACTTGGGAGGCTAAGATGGAAGGATCACTTGAGCTTGGGAGGTCAAGTCTGCAGCAAGCTGTGATTGAGCCACTGCATTTCAGCCTGGGAAACAGTGAGACTCTCTCTCTTAAGTAAATAAATCAATGTGGGTAAGATATGTGAATATGATTGAATGTCACTCCGTAATTGTTTACTTTATATGGAAGAAAAGATTGTGGATATAATTAAGTCCCAGAATCATAAGGGAGTCCATCAAAAGACACATTATCTTGAGTGGGTCTGACTAAATCAGGTAAGACTTTAAAAGAAGTCAGAGGCATTATCCTACTTGCCTCAAAGAAGCAAATGAAAGCTGTGTTTTATAAAGCTCTATGAGATAGGGAATGGCATCTGGTTTGCAGCAGCCAAGAACACTCTAGACAGCCAGTAAGAAAGAAAGACCAGAGTTCTAAAATCACAAGGAAGTAAATTTTACCAACAGCCAGTGAGCTTGGAAGAGAAACGTGAGCCTTAGATTAGCTCACAGTCCTGGCCAACCTTTTGATTTCAGTCTTGTGAGACCATGAGTAGAGAACTCAGTTAAACCATTCACAGATTTTTGACTTGCAGAAATTGTAAAATAAAAAATGTGACTTGTATTAAATCTATAAGCTTGTGATAAGTTGTTATTCAGCACAGAAAAGTAATACAGTCAAATATAAGGGCCACTAAGACATCTTCAGTGCTATTGGAAAGCCTACTGAACAGGTGATATTTGGAGTGAGCCCTAAGGAATCATCACACATTATCGAGGTTAGGCATGTGGGATACAGAAGGGGATGGGGAGAGTTTTCTAGAAGGATGAGGGCCAGAAGATGAGAAAGTTCAGGAGATTGAAAACAAATCAATATGAATGGAACACAAAATACAGGGAAGAAGGAGATGCATTACCACATTTAAGGAATTATAATATGCCATCGATTTTAAGGGAGTTTATTTTATGTGCCATTAAGGGTAGCATGGTAGAAAAAATGATGCCCTCCCACTCCCTTCACTACCTCCCTGTTGAAGATATCCAGCTCCTAATTCTGGAAACCTGCGAGTGCTATCTTATGTGGCCAATAAGAATTTGCAGATTTGATTAAGTTGAGGATTTTGTTGTGGTAAGCTTATCCTATTTTATCTGGGTAGGCCCTAACTATAATCATAAGGGTCTTCCAAGGGCCTTTATAAGAGAGAGGCAAGAAGTTTAAAGGAGGAAGGTGACATGAAGATGAAAGCTGGAGTTTGGATTGATGCAAGGAAGGGGTCATGAGCCCAGGAACAAAGGCAGCCTCTAGAATCTAGTAAAGGCAAGAAAATAGAAGTCTTCAGAAGCAACACAACCCTGCAATACCTACCTCATTTTAGACTTTGGCCTCCAAATATATAAAATAATAAACTTGTGCAGTTTTAAGTTTGTGAAAATTAGTTACAGCCATTATAGGAAACTAATAAAGAGAGCAAAAACTGCCAGTTAAATTCTGATAAAGTATTTAAGACATCACTATTGTGAAAAACTCATCCCAATTTCAAAGATGCTTGTGTTAATATGTAATGTGTTAGTTATCACGCTAATTTGTGATGAAAATTGGGATGTGTTAAATGAAGTTCACTAATTTGAAATAACATCTCCATAGGCTGGGACAAGATCCTACAAGTCTTTGTGATCTATAGAACATAAACCTGGTGTGCATTGAGGAACTGTTGAAAGCTTTCCTAAAAATGGAATAAAGTATGGTTGGTCTCCTTACAGAGAATCACATTGTATTGTATTTCTTAGTTGTATCTAAAAATATATATAATGCTGCTTTATTTCTTTGAAGTTTTATTTTGCTGAAAACTATATTCTCTTAAATTAATGTTAAGAAGCTAAGGCACATTTTATCTGCATACATATTTGGTAGGAAAAATTAAAAACCTGTTTTTTATTAGTTTTTTACAATGATGTCATCAATTCAGAAAATAAAAAATGCTGAGGTTCCCACTGAAATTGTACCACCGGGTGCAGTGGCTCACATCTGTAATCCCAGCACTTTGGGAGGCGGAGGTCGATGGATCATGAGGTCAAGAGACTGAGACCATCCTGGCCAACATGGTGAAACCTCGTCTCTACTAAAAAAAAAAAAAAAAAAAAAAAAATTAGCTGGGCATGGTAGCGCACCCATGTAGTCCCAGCTACTCAGGAGGCTGAGGCAGGAGAATTTCTTGAACCCAGGAGGCAGATGTTGCAGGGAGCTGAGATTGTGCCACTGCAATCCAGGCTGGCAGCAGAGCGAGACTCCACATCAAAAAAAGAAAGAAAAGAAAAGAAAAAGAAAAAAAAAAAAACAGGCGCCATGGCTCACACCTGTAATCCCAGCACTTTGGGAGGCCGAGGTGGACAAATCACCCGAGGTTAGGAGCTCAAGACCCGCTTGGATAACATGGTGAAACCTCGTTTCTACTAAAAAAAAAAAGTATATATATATTTTTCCTCTAATTGAAATTTGCATCAAACTAGTACGTTACTTTCAAATGTATGGATGACTTTTGATATCAAGTTCATTATGATAAACTTCATATGTTCATATGTTAAACTTCTTAAAGAACATTGCAGTTTTAAGAGCTGTAAGTGGATATAGATGTTTACAAAAATGTGAAAATGCTAAGCATGTCTTCATATGAGTCTAGTAGCTTGAATTTTAGTTTCTCATGATTTAGATAAACTTAAAATCTGCTGTTTAAAATGTTTAAAGTGATAACAAAAATTCAGATATTTAGAGAAACATAGTTAAAAAGTGAGTAAATAATAGGGTGGAGATAATCTTTCTGTGCAAGAGGCATCATGTAGGATATGTAAATTACAGAAGTCTTTAGTGAAATCCACTATAAAGTTAAATAAAGTAGAATCAAGTCATCCAACTTCAATAATCAGCAATAAAAACATGAAAAGATTAGACTGGACAGTATAAATTCTGTTTCTGCAGTAATATCAAAGGACATATAGCAGGAAAACAGTTCTTTATGGAGCATACCTCAACATATTAAAGATAAGTCCTAATTCTCTTTATATTTTCATAAAACTCATTATTCATATACTAAAGTTCTATGAAAAGACAGTCCTTTTTACTAAACAGAAGATCTAGCTAACACTGTATATCCTTAAGGGACATTAAGTGGTAATGGACATTGTATATCTTTAAGGGACATTAAGTGGTAGATATTTTGTGCATTGTAAAAGACCAGAGATGGTTGCTGCTATCTATCATCTAGAAATTTTATGTAAACCAAGGAAGTCTGAGTGATGAATTTTATGGGGAGACATCATTTTTTCCCTCTCCCTATCCCATTCCCTCCCAGCTTCCTAGACTCTATTTACATTGGACAAATTTCTTCTCAAATCTAACAATGATTAGTGAGACAGAAAGCAATGGAAATAACTCCACTTTCCACATAACCTTTAGAAATAATATGCTAATGGCAAATCTTATAGATGCATTTTACAAATATTGTCATAAATTGGAATATATTATTAATGTACTTATTTTACTCTGAGAAAGCAAATTCGCTTTCCAGGTTGAATGCAAACATATGAAGTCAGTTATTTTCATTTTAAATTTATGACTTACACTTTTAAATAATTTTTTATTGTTTTAAAAAGCATACCTTCAAGTATTAATAAATAAAACATTAATATCCATGTTCATGTATGTTCTTTCTTGACCTCATTAAATAGCAAATGAATTGATTTTTATCACTTCTTCATGTTAGTAAAATATTTTGTGAGTAATTAAAGTGAGAGTCAATAAAGCAGCCCCGCCAGTATCAGCTAAGCTGGACTGGCTGCATAATCGGACCCTGGTGCTTTTCTTTTGAGCGTAAACAATTTTATGGATCACCAAAATCAGACAAGGTCTGTGCTCATGAAGGAACAAAATAAAAATAATATCACTCCACACTCATATCTGAGCACAGACAAAAACAATAAAGCTGTCTAAACCACAAAATGGCTAACATTCATCTTTCCTATCTCTTCTATAGTTCTTTACAAATTAAAGCTTTAGCTTTATTTGTAATAGGTAATGTTATTACCTTTTAGATAACAATTTTCGTAATACTCCCCTTTGTAACCTCATAGAGTAGAGGCCAAACTTCCTGGAACCACCTCCAGAGTCACTAAACCCAAGCTTGAATCTCAAGCCTCTGTTGAAACCCTCTTAACAAAGTGCTCCCAAATTCTTCATGGTATGGAGCCAATAAACTCAAGTTTGTCTAATGACAGGTGAATTTATGGTGGTCTTTAAGTGGAGAATGCCAATAAAGATACTTCTACTTTTGACTAGAAATGAGAGTACTTGTGTCTATTTTTCTGTGATCGATAAAAAAACACACTGCATTCTCACAGATGTGTAATATATGTATGTATTGGTATGCTAGGGCAACCATATCAAAGCACCACAAACTGGGTGGCTTAAACAACAGACAGTTAGTGTTTGACCATTCTGGAGTCTAGAAGTCCATGATCAAGGTCTTGGCAGGGTTGGTTCCTTCTGAGGGCTGTAAGAGAGAATGTGTTCCATGTCTCTCCTCTAGCTTCCTGTGTTTTTCTGACAATCTTTGGCATCCCGTAGTTGTAGATGCATCACCCTGATCTCTACCTTTATCTTCACATGAAGGTCTCTCTCAATATTTGTCTGTGTCTAAGTTTTCCCTTTTGTTAAGGACACCAGTTATATTGGATTAAGGGCCCACCTACTCCAGTATATCCTCATTTTAATTTAACAAATTACATCTGAACTGATCCTATTTCCAAATAAGGTAATATTATTACAATAAAGTGCTAAGTAATTAGGACAACAATATAATTTTGGGAGGACACAACTCAATCAAATACAATGTGTTTTGATGTGAAGGAAGCATAAGAGGTTTTTCTGTATGTTGGTTTTTGTTTTTTGGTTTGTTTGTTTGTTTAGAAGTTTTTTTTTAAAAGACCATGTTCTTCTAATTGTTCTCTACTAAAACTTTCTCATATTTCCTCTAAGGTTACCTTTAGTGAAGCCTATATGCATACCCTGTGTGCATATGTTTGCTTGTTGTTTAGTAGTTCTGAATTGTATTGTTGTTGTTGTTTAAATATAGCTAGATTGTGCTTTTTGCAATCTTAGCTTAAATAATATTTTAAAAATCATAGGTACAAAAAAATTGACCTTACTGTATGACATCATTTTGGATTCTAGAAATAAAAATAAAGCTTATAAGATTATCTCAATGAACACAAAATGGGGACCAGAATAAGTGGCATAAATGTAGAACGAGAAAGACTGGGTGCCATATTTTGTATCAATCCGATGATTTCACCACTTGGATTTTATTTTTGGGTACCATATGGTTTAGATTAAGATAAACCCATTGATAATAATTTCAGTCTAATAGGAAAATTATTTCTTTATATTAAAATTTTTGTGAATCTAGGTACCACCATAGAAGCACAGACTAAACATTCTTATTCTTTTTACATTTTTTCTCACGTTTCTAAAAATATTTAATTGAACATTATATCTCTTAAACCACTCTCACTGCCACTTCCAAAATCCTTGTCCTGTTATTTTTCTGTCATATCTATTTTATAAAAATTCAGCCATTCACACAAGACAATGTGTGGCTAACAATGTGGACACAACATTCCAAAGAGCTTGGATCCAAACCCTTGCTTGATCCTTAAGTAGACACGTGATCTTAGGCATATGACATTTCCATGCCTCTGATTTCTGATACCTAACATAGAGATAATAACATCACACAACTCATAGGTTTGTAGTACAAAATAAATGACATAAGGTATGTTAAGCATTTCAAAAAGTACCTGCCAAGCACCATATTAATTTAAGACATTAATATCATTATCTCTGTCCATTTGCCTAGCTTGCTGATTATTTCTGGTAAGACAACAGGAATTATCTCAAAATCAAAATTTCTAACTCCAGGTAGGCACCCAACTCTTAGTAATTGTATTAGTCCATTCTCATGAGGCCAATAAAGACATCCCTGAGACTGGGTAATTTGTAAAGGAAAGAGGATTAATTGATTCACAGTTCAACGTGGCTGGGGAGGCCTCAGGAAACAATTGTGGCAGAAGGGGAAACAAACATGTCCCTCTTCACATGGCGGCAGCAAGAAGTGCCGAGCAAAATGGGGAAAAGCCCTTTATAAAATCATCAGATCTTATGAGAACTCAGTCACTATCATGAGAACGGCAAGAGAGTAACCCACCCCCATGATTCAATTACCTCACACCAGGACCCTCTCACAACACATGGGGATTATGGGAACTACAATTCAAGATGAGATTTGGGTGGGGAGACAGCCAAACCATGTCATTCTACCCTGGCCCCTCCCAAATCTCATGTCCTCACAATTTAAAACACAATCATGCCCTTACGATAGTACCCCAACATCTTAACTCATTCCAGCATTAACTCAAAAGTCCAATCCAAAGTCTCATCTGAGACAAGGCAAGTCCCTTCTACCTATGAGCCTGTAAAATCAAAAGCAAGTTAGTTACTTCCTAGATACAATGTGAGTATAGGCATTGGGTAAATGGACCCATTTCAAAAGGGAGAAATTAACCAAAACATAGAGGCCACAGGCCCCATGGAAGTCTGAAATCCAATAGGGCAGTCATTAAATCTTAAAGTTCCAAAATGGTCTCCTTTGCTCCATGTCTCACATCCAGATCACATCCCATGGCTTTGGGCAGCTCTGTCCCTGTGGTTTTGCAGGGTACGGCTCTCGATCCTAGCTGCTTTCACAGGCTGGCATTGGGTGTCTGCTACTTTTCCAGGGGCACGGTGCAAGCTGTCAGTGGATTTACCATTCTTGGGTCTGGAGGACTGTGGCTCTCTTCTCACAGCTCTACTAGGCAGTGCTCCAGTGGGGATTCTGTGTGGGGGCTCCAACCCCACATTTCCCTACTGCACTGCCCTAGCAGATGTTCTCTGTGAGGGCTCCACCCATGAAGCCCACCTCTGCCTGGACATCCAGATGTTTCCATACATCCTCTGAAATCTAGGTGGCGGTTTCCAAACCTCAATTCTTGTCTTCTGAGTGCCTGCAGGACCAACACCACATGGAAGCTGCCAAGGCTTGGGACTTGCACCCTCTGAAGCCACAGCCTGAACTGTACATTTCCCTTTTTTAGCTATGGCTGGAGCAGCTGGGATGCAGGGCACCAAGTCCCAAGGCTGCACACAGCAGTGGGGCCCGGGACCCAGTCCAGCAAACCATTTTTCCCTTTTAGATCTCCAAGCCTGTGATGGGAGGGGCTGCCATGAAGGCCTCTGACATGTCCTAGAGACACTTTCCCCATTGTCTTGGTGATTAACATTCTGCTCCTCATTACTTTTGCAAATTTCTGCTGCTGGTTTGAATTTCTCCCCAGAAAATTGGCTTTTATTTTCCAGTGCATCATCAGGCTGCTGCAAATTTTCCAAACTTTTATGCTCCGCTTCCTTTTGGATGCTTTGCTGCTTAGAAATTGCTTCTGCTAAATATCCTAAATCATCTCTCTCAAGTTCAAAGTTCCACAGATCTCAAGGACAGGGGCAAAATACCATCAGTCTCTTTGCTAAAGCATAACAAGTGTCACCTTTGCTCTAGTTCCCAACAAGTTCCTCATCTCCATATGAGACCACCTCAGCCTCAACTTTATTGTCCATATCACTATCAGCATTTTGGTCAAAGCCAATCAACAAGGCTCTCAGAAGTTCCAAACTTTCCCACATCTTCCTGTCTCCTGATTCCTTCATGTCTCTAAGAAGTTCCAAATGTTCCCACATTTTTCTGTCTTTTTCTGAGCCATCAAAACTCTTCCAGCCTCTGCCTGTTACCTAGTTTCAAGCTCAATTCCACATTTTCGGGTATCTTTAGAGCAGCACCTCATTACCCAGTAGCAGTTTACTGTACTAGTACATTCTCATCATGCTAATAAAGACATAATTGAGACTGGGGTAATTTCAAAGGGAAAGAGGTTTAAGTGACTCACTGTTCAGCATGGCTGTGGGAGCCTCAGGAAAGTTACAGTCATGGCAAAAGGAGAAGCAAACACATCCTTCTTTACATAGTGGCAGTAAGGAGAACTGCTGAGCAAAAGAGGGGAAAGCCCTTTATAAAATCATCACACCTTGTGAGAACTCACTCACTCACTATTACAAGAACAGCAGCATGGGGTAATAATCCCCATGATTCAATTACCTCCCACTGGGTCCCTCCCACAACATGTGGGAATTATGAGGACTACAATTCAAGATGAGATATGGGTGGGAACACAGCCAAATCATATCAGTAATAATTTAACATATATTTCTTCAATTTCTATAATGGTGTGTTTTAGCTGCCTAGCGTCTATCCATTAGCATCCAGATTTTCTGGTGGAGGATTTCTTTTTTCTCCTAAGTCTGTGCTTAGCTGAAAGATCATTTTTAACCTTATTTATCCCACTGCCTACATAGTGCTACAGAACCCCAGGTGACTAGATGCTTCCTCCATTTGCTCTCTGGCTTACCAAAAGAGGCATATTATGCCAGTTTATCTAATTGGATAAAAAGAAAGCTTCAGAAGGCATGCTTATTGCGATAGTAACAATAATAGCTGGTGTAGCATTGGTGGTGTTAGGTGGATTTTAAGCAGGAAGAGGAGTACTGATGATGACATCTTGGCTAGGCTGTTATGGCTATTTCTATTCTTTCTGTAGCTCTTCCCAAATAAGCAAAAACTGATCAAATTTATTGACAGTGGATCAACCCTACAAGGAATACTAAAGGGAATCTTCTGGCTGAAATAAACTCTCATAAGACAGTTACTTGAATCCATAAAAGGAAATAAAGAGCATTGATAAAGGTAATACACAGGTAAATTTTAAAAGAAGTACATATATAAAACTAAATATATTATATATTAATATATATTATTTTTTAAACATAAATACAATATATGTAATACAATTTTATTTTTCTATTTAATTTAAAAGGCATCTACATAAGTCAGTATTTATAAAACTTCATTGTTAAACTTATAATGCATAAAGACATCATTTGTATGACATAGTACAATGGAGGGAGGGAGAGAATATAGAGATATGTTGTATCAAGGTTTTTATATACTATTGAAATTGTTAACATTAATTTGAAAGAAGTCAGTCACAAAAGACCACATATTGTACAATTCCATTTATATTACATGTCCAGAATAGGAAAATTTATAAAGAAAGAAAGTTGATCAGTAGGAAGAGAGGACTGTTAATGGGTATGGCTTTTATTTTGGTGGTGGTGAGATGTTCTTATTAGATTATGATGATGAGGGTTGCACAAGTTTGTGAATATCCTAAAATCCATTGAACTATTTACTTTCAGTAAATTTTATGAATTATATCTCAACTGAATATTGAATTTTATCTCAGTAAAGCTATTAACTTATAGTAAGTTAATATTATCTTTTTAATTATATTAACTGCGGTCACTGTTAAATCTTGGTTAGTCTCAGTTACCTTATTTATTGCTTGTGTCAGAAAAAGTTCAGATACCACATGCAATAAAAAAAAATCCAATTGAATTTCCAAATGATTATTTTTCTCCACCACTGGAACAGATATAATACTCTAAATATAAAGAGATTTTTAATTTCAAAAGCTAGGCTTCAAGGGAGAAAAATTGTTGAAATTGTTTTCATTGTAGTGTTTGTTTTGTGTTTTTGTTGTTGTTGAAGTGGCGATAATTGTGGATTTCCTGCCGTTGACATATGTTAATCCAAAATAAGAAAAATGGGAGAAGAAAGAGGAAAAAATTCATAGTTCCCACAATTTGCAGTAAGAAAAAGGACTAGAATTTTTTAATAGTCTCTCTTTTATAGTGAGACCTTCCAGTTTTGAAACCAGTTGAAGCAGCACAAGTGGACACAGAAATTTCTTCCATAGACAGAGGAGACTCGGGTTTGCTTGCAGCATGAAATCGCAAGAGCAGTCTTACAGGAAAGTATGCACGTGTAGTGCAGGGCAATAATAAGGTAGGAATGGCAGTAGGGTAGTCAAACAGACGTTGATGTAACTTGCCCCTTCATATACCACCACCTAGTAAGCTGAGAGAAGATGCTGAATTCAAATTCTAGGTTAAACATCATACATAGCAGTCCAATAAATTAAATGATTTCAAGTAAAAAATGGTTTGTGAGGTTAAAAGTTTGGAAAACAGAACGTACTAGTCAAGATGGAAGGAGTCTCCTACTACATGCCATAGCCCTCTTCTTTAAAGCAAGAGCAAACCTCAGTCTTCTGGGTGGTCTGGTTTTGTCATCACTTTTTACAAAACTAACTTTAACTTGAGAAAATAGTAATTCATGTAAATCTGTAGCCTCTGTAAACTTCTATCATTGTGAATACATATAGCAATGCAATGAAAATATAGCTGGTGCTCATATGTCTAGGGAGCTTTTATTCACGAAGGAGGCCCACAAGATTTAAGTAGCATTCATAGCAATGACATGATTTAATATTCATAAAAATGGCAAAACCTTACAACTTAAAACACCCCAGGTACTATTTTAAGTGATTTCTATAACCAAGTCATTGTATCCTCACAGAAAAACCTTAGTAGGTATTGTAGTCATTCCCATTCTTCCCTGAGGAAGTGGAGATGCAGGGCGATGTCTGTGGGGAGCCAGGCTTCTGTCCAGGCCCTGAATCTATGAATTCAACCTCATTACAGGGCTGAGTGTTCTTCAGAATGCCCATGTGCTTCAGTTTTTCAGAATTCATGCGTCACGAATGTGGTTTACTTCTTCAAAATTGTATTTTTGTTTAACTTGAAGATATTGTAGGCATTTTCATATATAAATAAATTCCATTTTTGCTTTTTATTCAATCACTAAGTTGCCAAAAAGTTGGAAATAATAGGTTTTGATAAATATGATTCCATTGTTTAATTCTTCAGATTCTTTGCAAGCAATATATTCATGTAGCTTTAAAAAAATCCCAAATATTATGTTCTAGGAACTAACATTTGATATTGTTTGAGAGTGCTTCAAAATGATTTTTTTAAATAACCGTGAAAAAGGTCAGCTATACCTCTAAGCTTTCACTGAGGACTATCATCAGTCAAATGATTAGTTTCAGCAATTTCATGGCATAAATCCACAACTAGGGTGATTAAGGGTAGTGAATTTAGGTACAAGCCTAAAATTGAATCAAATAGAAGCAGATAAATACCTCTACCTTATTCTCATATAATGAAACTCTTCTTATGTATGAAAAACATCACTATATTTTGAGAAATGCTAATTCACATTTAAATTTCCAAGAAAAGTGCTCTTCTGAATATTTTAAAGATTATTCAATAGACTTTACAGAGTATATTTGTACCTATCATAAAATTAAAAATCAATATGCATTACCCACAAAAGTGTACAGTTGATAAACCATACTTAGCTATAGCAGATTTTAAGAGTTCTGACTTCCCTCAAATCCATTACATTAAACACTTCAACCAGCTAATGTCAAAACTGGAGCAATTGCATATCACCCCACTTAAAACAATACAGCAAAATGCACATATCATGTCTACTAAAATCTCTGCAATAATGAAAATGAATTGATTTTAAACAAATGGATTTTAGTGAATGTATAAATCTGAATCCTTTGAGATATGCTAAATGTTTAACTCTGTTTTTGTATTAAATTTAATTTGCATTTATGCATTTAGAGAATATATGTTATTCAAGCAGTAAAAAGATTGAAAATAATTATTTTGTTCAGTAAATAAACAGTAAAGAAACATGGTATAAGACTGGTACTCTGGTAGAGCTATGCATTCATCCCAGCTGCGCAAGAGGCTGAGGCACGAGAACTGTTTGAACCCAGGAGGGAGAGGTTGCAGTGAGCTGAGATTGCCCCACTGCCCTCCAGCCTGGGCAACAGAGTGAGACATCATCTCAAAAAAATAAATAAGAGGAAGAAAAACAAAACAATTTCTTGCTTCCTGAATCTTGAATTTTAGGTAACAGAACAGATGTCTGTCAGTGAGAGAAATATGTGTTTTAATGATGTTCTATAAAGGGTACACTGGGATACAAAGGAGGACCATTAGAAAAAACTCCCCAGGGCAGAGAAACTTCCACACAACTTTCTCAAGATTAATACAGTGAGTCACTCATACAAGAGCTTATTTTAAAACTCAGTCCATAAATACAAAATTCCTAATAAACTGTCTGAAAGTACTCTAAATTGCCATATGTATTTTTTTATTCAATTCTGTGTCAGTGTCTCTCATTCTTCATCAGTCATTACTTTTCTATGATCTTCTAGTAATTCTTCAGTCCCTCTCTTACAGATTGAAAAAGACTTCTTCAGTCGCTTATTTTATTTATGAAATCTTTACATAGCCTTTCTAATATGACATGGTTTATATTAACTCTATCCACTGTTAGTTTCATAAATGAAACAGGGTTATTATTAGGCAAACATAATTAATTCAGGTGCTCTAAATACTGTAGGCTGGAACTGCACTGTAGACATTCTCCAGAAAATAACTAAATGAAGATTGTTTAGAATTTAACAATTAGAGTTGTTAATTGTTGAATTCTAAACTTTCTTAACAGAAGCATAAAAGTAATAGGAAGGAAATGCATTCCAGGCCAAAGGGACTCATGAAAAAAAGACCAGGGGTATGACCAGAAATAAAACAAACATGTAGGAAGGCATTTATGCACAGATGAATGGGCTACAAATAAGGGAGGGGATGTTATATGGGCCTGCGTTGCCTTCCTGTGTCAGAAGGTGCATTAGGAGAGCACAGTCCAAAGTCCACCTAGCATTTTGGAAAATACTGTCAAGAAACAAGTAAAGATTCAGATATTGGCCGGGCATGGTGGCTCTCTCCTGTAATCCCAGCACTTTGGGAGGCCGAGACAGGCAGATCACAAGGTCAGGAGATCGAGACTGTCCTGGCTAACACAGTGAAACCCTGTCTCTACTAAAAATACAAAAAATTAGCTGGGCGTGGTGGCGGGCGCCTGTAATCCCAGTTACCTGGGAGGCTGAGGCAGGAGGATTGCTTGAATCCGGGAGGCAGAGGTTGCAGTGAGCCAAGATCGTGCCATTGCACTCCAGCCTGGGCGACAGAGTGAGACTCCGTCTCAAAAAAAAAAAAAAGATTCAGATATCTCTGACTCTAAACAGTCAAAAAGTCACCACATGATTTGTTCTACCCTTTTCCTCTTCCTCTTGCCTATTTGTAATGTGTGTTTTTTTTTTTTGACAGTGAGAAGCTTGGCTACCATTTATAATTTATTTACTTACTTGCTGAACTCTACTTTTACATGTAAAGTAGTTTCAGAGTTGTGCATCTATACCTCAGTAAGAAACAAATTTACCCCAAAGAGTATGATGTTTTTGTACAGTTATTTTAGCTTTTACCTTAATGTCGTCAATCAAAACTCTTGTTTCTAAAGTTATTTAGATCAGTTCCTTTTCTTTCCACATCATTTAGTGATGTCTTAACTTTTCTAATGTCATACTTTTCTAATGAACTAGTTCTAATAAACTTTTCTAATAAATCTGACTTCATTAGAAGTTTTTGTGACAGTCTTCATTAGCAGATTTGTGACAGTCTGCTTTCTGTTATTGGACCCTCCTACATCCTGGTTGATGTTTTTAATTTGTGTACAATAAGTTATTACTTAGGGTAGAGCTCTATTGATTTTGACAAACATGTGTACCATCACAGGACTGGATTAAACAATTACAGCATTCTAAACATTCTCTTCAATGCCTCATTAAAAACAATCCCAATCTCAACTTTCTGTCAACCACTGATCTGCTGTCTGTCCTGATATTTAGCTCTACATTTTCCTGAATGCTGTATAAGTGGAATCATGCAATAGGTACCTTTTGTGTATGGCTTCTTTCACGTAAGAAAATGCACTTAAGACTTATCAGTATTGTATTAATCACTTTGTTCCTTTTTAGTGCCAGATAGTATATCATTGTATTTATGTACCAGAAGTTATCTGTTCATCTGTTGTAAGGCATGTTGTTTGTTTGCATTTATTGGTGAATACGTATAAAGGTGAATATGAATATGTATAAATGTACCCTATAAACATTTGCATATATAACAAAATCTTTATTTCACTTGAGTAAATACTTGATTGCTGGATTGTATGGTAAAGTGAATACTTAATTAACACTAAATTATTATGCCGGATTTCTTTTCAAAGTCTGCTTTACTATCCTGCATTCCCATCATCAATGACTACACTTTGAGTTCTTCTGCATCACAAGCATTTACTATTGTCATTTGTTTTGTGTTTATTTCATTTTTATCTTACTAAGAGGTGTGCAGTGCTCATCATGGAGTATTAAGATCAATTTCTGTTAACTTTTTATTTTTATATAGCTTAAAGCTTACAAACAAATTAAAATAGTGCAAGAAACTCCAATGCTTTACTCAGAGTCCCAAAATGTTTTGGGATATTTTGCTATAATTGCCTTAATATTTTATCTCTATGTTCACTTATCTATATTATATGCATTTCTACAATAATATATATTATCTATATCATATATAATTCTTTTTGTGAAACATTTTAGAGGAAGTTTGAAATATTATGAACCTTTATCCTTAATTACTGCAGTATGTGTTTTCTAAGAACAATGTTATTTCTTACATCATCATAGTACAATTACAAAAACCAATACTATTGACTATAGTTAATAATAATGTATACATAAAATTTGCTGAGAGTAGATTTTTAGTATAGTTTTCACATAATAGTCTAGTAATTTTGAAAAGTGCCCTTCAATTTTGGTTTATCTGATGTTACCTTTTGATTCAAATTCAGGTTTTATATAACTTTGAAAGAAGTACAACAGAAGTGATATGTTATCCTCAGTGCATATCAGTGGACATTTTTAGTTAGGTTGTTCTAATATTTGTTAACTTATTCCAGTAAAAAATTTATGTAATTTATCCCCTTGGACTTAATGAATAATTTTGTTATTTAAGAACTATAAACATGTATTTTTGTTAAAGAATCTTTCACCCACTAGTTTAGCAATCATTGATAATTTTCCAACTCCACCTTACTTTCATGTATATGTTGATTTTCTGCTATAAGGAAGAGCTTTGCCTTTATACCTCCCTAAGTATTTGTCTATTTTTCAATTTATTATACATTTATATAAGAATTGAATCATCAGTTATTATATTATTCAGTGAATTATAATACATTAACTTTATTATTTATTTTACTGCTGAAATTTCCTCCTACTTAGCCAGTGGAAAACCTGTAGAGCTGTCCCCTGTGTCCTTTTGATTTATTCTCCTTTTTCTTTGAGTACTTCTTTATAATGCAAAAAAGATATTTAAGGTTTCTCTTTTAACTTCCTTGCTCTAGGCTTGAAATTTATCTTTTCTGTAAAAAGTATGGTTCCTTTAAGTAGAGAATGATATTAAGAAATCAAGATCTAGGTGATCAGAGTGTTCTCTTATAAAGGGAAAGAGTTAGGAAATATGTGCATGTGTGGGTATGTATGCATACATACATACACATATGTATATATTTATGTCTATATATTGATATACATACATTTATATGCAGATACGTACTTTGTAGGAATTATATAAATACACATGCACACATATACACTCATATCAGATTTATACTGATAAACCATTGACCCTTGAACAGCATAGGTTTAAATGACATGGGTCTATTTATATGCAAAGTTTTTCAATAAAATTTACATGGAGTGTGCCTGCCTCTCCTGCCTCCCCTTCTAATTCCTTGACCTCTTCTGCCTCTGCCACCCCCAAGACAGCAAGACCAACCTCTCCTCTTCCTCCTCCTCCGAGGTCTATTCAATTTGAAGATGATGAGGATGAAGAACTTTACAAGAGGAGAAGGAGCCAAGATGGCCTACTAAATGCAGATAGGAAGAGCATCTCCCAGCAAGAGACCAGACTATTAAGAAGACTGGCACACTGTGTGAGGATCTTTGGAAGAAAGGAATTCAGAGCGGATGGAAAGAAGATGGATACCCGGGGCTGAATGGGGAGCAATCTGGAATCTCTTCATTGGCCTGCTGAGTATGAGGGACGCATTCCTGGTGCCAGTGGGTCCTGGGGAAGGGGTGAGACAAATAAGCGAGGATGGCCCACTCTCACTATGGAACACCAGAATGCTAGCTTCAGGACACCTCATGGCCACCATGGACATTTGAGCTGACAAGAAGAGCTGTTTAGAGAGGTCAGACCTCCAGCCTGTGTGGATTCCAGAGGGTTTGGCTCAAGAACAGCTGGAGAACAGCTAGGGATGTACATCCCCCAAGTCTGGCCACATTCCCCGAAGTGTCTGTAGCCTTTGATGACTGTCAGACCTGGACAAAGCAGGGTGATCTTGCCAATAAGATGGATGTGACCTGAGCTTTCCCTTCTCTGCCAGCCACTCCTAGGGTCCCTGCTTGGCTGATGCTGCTTGCAGCACAGTGTCAGATGCCCAACCAGGTGCTTCCTGGTGGCCATTGCCATAGGTCCTTTGTTGACAGACCCTCCCTAACCATCAGAGAGCTTCTGCAGACAGACTACTGCCAGCATGCACCCAACTACGCACAGCATCCCCACACTGCAGCCTCCCCACACCACTATGCTGGCACACATTCACCTGTAGCACCCCCACTGATTTGCTGGCACCTGTGTAGGCAGAACTCACTGCATCCCCTGAGCACCCTGTCCACATGCATGTACTCCACTGTACCACTATTGCTGCTGGCATGCATGCACAAGCTGAGATCCCACTGCCACTGCTCCAGTGAAGCATGTTGGCTGACAGATTCCATCGGGGTATTGTTGCCAGTGGACAGGGCATACCTTGATTCCTCCAACACAGCAGGTGCTTAACGTTGAGAGGGTCAGAGAAAAAGGCCATGGACCTGTTAGTAGCCCTTCAGGGGCTGCTTTATAGTGTCAATCAAGTCTGCGTAACAACAAACAACAAAATGACAGGATCAAATCCACATATCAATGTTAACCTTGAATGTAAATAGGTAAATGTCTTAGTTAAAAGGCAAAGAATGGCAAGGTGGATAAAGAAATAAGACCCAACTGTATGCTGTCTTTAAGAGACCCATATTCCATGCAATGACACCCATAGCCTCAAACTAAAGAGATGGAGAAAATTCTACAAGGCAAATGGAAAACAAAAAAGAGCAGAGGTTGCTATTCTAATTTCAGACAAAACAGATTTTAAACCAGCAAAGATAAAAGAAGGGCATTACACATGATAAATAGGTCAATTCAACAAGAAGACATAACCATTCTAAACACACACACATTTATACATATTATATATAATATTTTATATTTTATATATATATATATACACACACACGCACATACACACACACACACACATATACACACACCCAACACTGGAGCACCCAGGTTCATAAAACAAGTTCTTAGAGATCTATGAAGAGACTTTATAACCACACAAAAATAGTGGCAGACTTTAACACCTCACTTAAAGTATTAGAGAGGTCATGAAAGAAGAAAACTAATAAGGATGTTTGGGACCTGAACTCTACACTTGGACAAATTGACCTAGCACACATGTACAGAACACTCCACTCAACAGCAACAGAATATATATTCTTCTCATTGGCATATGACACCAACTCTAAAATTGACCATGTGATAAGACATAAAATAATTGTTAGTAAATTCAAAAAAACAAAATCATACCAACCATGCTCTTGGACCACAGTGCAATAAAAATAAAAATTAATACCAGAAAGATCTCTCAAAACCATACAATTACATGGAAATTAAACAACCTACTCCTGAGTGATTTTTTGAGTAAACAATGAAAGTAAGGCAAAAATCAAGAAATTTTTTGAAACTAATGAAAACAAAGATATAATTTACCAGAATCTCTGGGACATTGTGAAAGTTGTGTTAAAAGCAAAGTTTATAGCACTAAAGGCTCACATCAAAGAGTTAGGAAGATATCAGATTATCAAATTACCATCACACTCAGAGGGACCAGAAAAAAAGAACAAACAAACCTGAAAGTTAGCAGAAAAAAAAATAAGCAAAATCAGAGCTGAACTGAAATTAATACATGAAAAATCATACAAAAGATAAACAAAACCCAAAATTGGTTTCTTGAAAAAATATATAAGATTCATAATACACTAATTAGACAAATTAAAATGTTGAAGATCCAAATAAACACAATCAGAAATGACAAAAGGGACATAACCACTGACCCCACAGATAAAAACAAAAACAAACAAACAAACAAAAACAACCCTAAGAAACTATTATGGACAACTCTATGCACACAAACTAGAAAATCTAAAATAAGTGAATAAATTCCTGGATACATACAACCTCCCAAGATTAAACCAGGAAGAAACTGATTCCTTGAACAGAGTAATAATAATGAGATCTGAAATTGAATCAGAAAAGCCTACCAACCAGAAAAAGCCCATGACCAGATGTATTCAGAGGTGAATACTACCAGACATATATAAAAGAGTTGTGATATAGTTTAGATATTTGTTCTGTCCCAAATCTCATATTGAATGAAATCCTCCATGCTGGAGGGGGCCTGGTAGGAGGTGTTTTGATCATGGGGGCAGGTCCCTCATTGCTTATGCTATCTCTGTGATGATGAATGAGTTTGTATGTGATCTGGTCATTTAAAAGTGTGTGACACCTGACCTACCACTGTCTCTTTCTCTTGCTCCTGCTTTTACCATGTGACATGCCTATTCCTCTTTCAAATTCTACCATAATTGTTAGCTTCTTGAGGCCTCCCAAGAATCTGGGCAGATGCCAGCACCATACTTCCTGTAAAGCCTGCAGAACGGTGAGCTAATGAAATATCTCTCTCTTTTTTTTTTTAAATAAATTACCCAGTCTTGGGTTCTTTTTATAGCAGTGAAAAATGGTCTAACAGAACATTGGTACTGAAGAGTAGAATATTGCTATAAAAATACTTGCAGATGTGGAAGCAGCTTTGGAACTGTGCAATGGGCAGAAGCTGAAAGAGTTTGGAGGGCTCAGAAGAAGATGGGAAGATAAGGGAAAGTTTAGAATTTCTTAGAGATTGGTTAAATAATTGTGACCAAAATGCTGCTAATGACATGGACAGTGAAGCCCAGGTTGCTGAGGTCTCAGATGGAAATGACGAACTTATTGAGAACTGAAGCAAAGGTCACATGTGTTATGCCCTAGCAAAGAGCTTGACTGCATTCTGTTCATGCCCTAGGGATCTGTGGAGGTATGAAATCAAGAGTGATAATTTAGAATACCTGGCAGAGGAAATTTCTAAGCAGCCAAGTGTTCAAGATGTGGCCTTGCTGCTTCTAACAACCTAGCTCAGATGTGGGAGAAAGAAATGACCCAAAGTTGGAAGTTATATATGAAAGAGAAGCAAACATAAGAGTTTGGAAAATTTGCAGCCTGGTCATATGGAAGAGAAAGAAAAAGCTTTATCAGAAGAGGAATTCAAGTAGCCTGTGGAGTAATCACTTTCTAGAGATGTTTGCATAACAAAAAGGAGCCAAGTGCCAATAGCCAGAGCAATGGAAAACATGCCTCGAAGGTATTTCAGAGACCTTCATGGCAGTCACTCCCATCACAGGCCAGGAGGCCTAGGAGGACAGAATCGTTTCATAGGCCGGTCACAAGGCCCTTTTGAAGTTGCTCCCCATGTTCTGGCCTCTCTAGCTTCATCTGTGGCTCAAAGGGACCCAGGTACAGCTCCAGGCTGCCATTCTGGAGAATGCAAGTCAAAAACCTTGGTGGAATCCATATGGTGTTAAGCCTGTAGGGGCACAGAATACAAGAGTGAAGAATGCTTGGCAGCCTCCTCCTGGATTTCAGAGGATATATGAGAAAGCCTGGGTGCTCAGGTAGAAGCCTGTTGCAGGGGCAGAACCCTCACAGAGAATCACTACTAGGGCAGTGCTGAGGGAAAAAGTGGGGTTGGAGCCTTCACACAGAGTCCCAAATTGGGCATTGCCTAGTGGAGCTGTGAGAAAAAGGTCACTCTTCTTTTGACCCCAGAAAGGTAGATCCACTGACAGCTTGCACCCTGTGCCTGGAAAAGCTGCAAGAATTCAATTCCAATCTGTGAGAGCAGCCCTGGTGCTGAATACTGCCAAGACAAAGCTGTGGAGCTACTCAAGGCCTTGAAAACACACCGTTTGGGTTCCCTGCCCTAGATGCAGGATATGGAGGCAAAGGAGATTATTTTGAAGCTTTAAGACTTAATGTAATTACTTCCCTGCTGGGTTTTGAACTTGCACGGGGCCTGTAGCCCCTTTCTTTTGGCTAATTTCTCCCCTTTGGAACAGCAATGTTTACCCAATGCCTATACCCCCATTGTATCTTGGAAGTAAATAACTAGGTTTTTTCAAAAAATTCATTTTACAGGATCACATGTAGAAGGGACTTCCCTTGTCTCAGGCAAAACTTTGTACTTTGAGTTAATGAAATGAATTAAATCTTTGTGGGATTACTGGGAAGGATGATTGTATTTTTTGATGTGAGAAGTACATGAGATTTGCGAGGGGCCAGTGGTAGAATGATATAGCATGGATATTTGTCTCCACTTGAATTTCATGTTGAATGGCAATCCCTATTGCTGGAAATGGGGCCTGGTGGGAGGTGTTTGGATCATGGGAGCAGATCCCTCATGGCTTGTTTTGTCTTTACTATAGTAAGTGAGTTCTTGTGAAATCTGGTCATTTAAAAGTGTGTGGCACCTCCCCCTGACTCTCCATATTGTTTGCTCCTGCTTTTGCCATGTGATATCCCTGCTCCACCTTCAAGT